>NC_000005.10:110109807-110412837 GCF_000001405.40 Homo sapiens | reverse complement strand
TAAGAACTTACTACATAAAACTGATTTTAGGAGATGAAAATATTTAAATGTAATTCAACAACTTGGATAAGTTACAGTATCAAATAACAATGGGTCCTAGTATCTTTCCATTTGAAACATTAGAAATTTATAAAACAAAAACCCCTTAAAACCAAGTCAGGGGTCTGAAAATTTTCTTGGGAAAAGATGGGTTATAAATTAAAATACACATAGTTTTATGCTACAGGAAGTTTCTCTTCTTGTCATTGTTATTCTGATAAAAAAAAAAAAGAGTTTGGCTATTTCTTTGCAACTATGGAGTTAATACAGTGGTGTTGATTTTTTTTAAGTCACATATTCGACATATCAATGGTCATGATTGCTTCAACCCAAGCGAGAAAGGTGGAAATTGAAATAGAGGCATGATGGAGCTCTCAGAATGCCCATGTTCAGGTGTTTCAATGATTTTCATTTACTTTACAGTTGGCATATCAATGGCAAGAAAATTAGGTTTGATTGGATTTGGCAATAACTTTCCTTTATGATATTTTCAAGGGATAGGATTGTTCAGGGTTGAATTCCCAATTATCTCCTGCTGTCAGAGGCTGGATAAAACAAAGCCTTCGGCATCAAATGTAATTAGCTCTATTGACTTATGTTTTTAATGTTAAAATTATATTCCTTTTTGGGGAGGATGAACAAATACCCCCCTTTCTCACTATACACTAATATCCTTGAAAACTGAGTGGATTTGTTTGGCAACTTATTTCTGTGTCTCTGAGATCAAATCTCTGAAGAGCTCTGAGATCAAAGCACTAAGAAGATGGGACACAGGATGTAACATGAATGTTATTTTGAAAATATGAAACTAATATATATTGTGCATTTTATTCTTTCCCTCATAAATCATGTTTCTTCATCATAATTTAGATATTACAGTACTCAAATAGAAGAGGGTACACCCATATTCATAGCAGCATTATTCACAATATCCAAAAGGTAGAAGCAACCCAAGTGTCCCTCAGTGGATGAATAGACAAACAAATGTGATATATACATACAATGGAATATTACTCAGCCTTTAAAAAGACATTCTGATACATGCTACAATATGGAATAAACTTAAGGGCACCATTCTCAGTGAAATAAGACTATTATGAAAAGACAAATACTGTATGATTCCACTTATATATCTGTAGTGGTCAAATTTATAGAAACAAAAAGTAGAATGGTGGTTTCAGGAGATGGGGAGGTAAAAATGGAGAATTGTTTTTTAATGTTTTAGTTTTATATGATGAAAATTTCTAGAGATTGCTCAACAATGTAAATATACTTGACACTACTGAATTGTATCCTTAAATGGTTAAAATGCTAAATTTATGTTATGTGTATTCTACCACAATTAAAAATAATAAGATATATTTTGAAAAGGAAAAGAGATAACAAATATCCTATCAAAAAGGAGAAAGAAAGGAAATAATCCTTATTGATGGAAAAAATGAAGAAAGTACACATCCCAAGACATCACACCATTGAACCCCTGGAAAAGAGTGGAAAACAGAAAATAAAATATTGGTATGGGAGAGAGCTCCAATACCTGTATCTTTGTTTCCTTTCCAGGAACATATACTGACATAAACATCCAGGAGGGGTATGGGAAGAGCTGGGAGCATCAGGGAGACCAGAGATAAGCTGCCCCTACAGCAAACTAGAGGAACATGGGCCTCTAGGATAGTTCTACATCCTTTTTATTCGTCATGGTGCAGGGATATTTTTGCAGCATTTTCAAAGGAAGTGGCTGATTGCATGAGTCCAGGATACTTCTCATCCCCTATCCAGTATGAGAGGGCCAGGGATGAAGAAGGTCTCACAGGCTGAGAGGGTTTCAGAAAGGATTCTTAACATAATGTCCTGAGAAACAAATAGTACCTACACACATCATCTTAGAGAAGCAGAACAGCATCATCATAAAGACAGAACATAGGCTCCAAAGTCAGAATGCCTGGGATTTGATTTCTGTCTTCTCCACATTCAAGCAATGCAAACTCAAACCAGTTGACCCACCTCTCTGTACCTCAATTTCACTTCTTGAAATGTGGTAATACTACTACCACCTCACTTTTTTGTTTAAGGATTAAATGAGTTTATACACCTGAAAATCCTGTCCCAATACCTGGCACGTAGTTCTCAATAAACATCAGTCATTATTCTTTGCTTTTATTGTTATTGGAAAGGAATATGAGAACTATTAAATATAGATTTCTCAACATTGTCTAAAAGAACTAAGTTGCCCAACTTTAGACAGCAAGCCTATATAGCTTGTATGTTCTGCCATCCAATTGAGTGTGGCTTAGGAAAAAATATTATATCAGTTCTTAGGAGTGAAAAAAGATAAAGGTAAATGTTTTTTGTACATTGAGTGTAGTGTAAGTAAATTTTGATCCCACTGTAGAAGAGATATTCCTTCAGTATCCTCAAGCTGTGTGCCTGAATCTAACATTTGTGGAAAGTGAGAGAAGGATGCAACTAGAGGCCAAAATACCGTATGCATGAGTATTTAAAACATACATTAAGCTAATAATAAACTGTTAAATAAAATATGTTTTAGCCTTTTACTTTGAAAACTATACCTTCACAATGAATTGGAAGGCCACACTCAAATTTAGAATTAACACAGAGTTCCATGCTGGAACTTGGTGAGAAAGGAAAGCAGGCTGTATTCTAGCCTCTGACCTACCTCCTTTCTCCCACCAGTCTCTGTTCTTCATGAGGTGTAATGCGCAAGCATTTTGTCAACATACCCTACCCATGATGAAGCTCTATCTATATTCCTATAAATAGACACTCCCTGCCAACTTCTCAGGCCAACGGATACAGACATCAGCAATGTGGGACTTGAAGCATGGTACAGTTGGGGAAGGGGATGGGGCTTTAGTTAGGCGTGTTCCCTTAGTATAGTGAACTCTTTGCCTTATAGGGAGGGCCTTGGCTAGAAGACCAGAGCAGGATTTGCTAGCGTTTGGGGCGCAGAGAAAGAGCTCCTCTTGCCTGCTCTATGAGTGACAATGTGCACAAAAAAATGATTCCAAATCTTTCAATTATAGCTAAAGGGCAAAATCATCCAAAGTTAGAGACCATCCCAACCCTGAAAAAAAAAAGAATATGTAGCAAGAGCTAAAGATACTCAACAGATGGGGGAACAGGAATGACATAGAAAGTTATCTCTAAGGGCTTTCTTGAAATCAGGCATTTTGAAAAGAGTAAACCTCTTTCAGAAAGAGAAAACTAGCTGTGGCAACAGCAACTCAGACTGTGAATGTACTGACCAGAGATATATCATTTTCCAATGCTTCTAAGAATCACATTCATTATAAATTTAGCATCTTAAAATTGAGATGTTTCCCATAATTGATAGTGTTTTACAATTACTCTCAGCCAAGTGACAGTTGTGACATGACTGTCAGGGCCTGTATGTGCATGAACTTGATCACAGCTATTCACAACCAACCTTAATTAACATGAGTTGTGTGCATTGTTGGCTCCATATAAGTTGTGTTGAATTGCTATTTAAAATGTCTCCAAAAAGATTATACTATGATTTGGCATTGAAAAAAGAGTTTGTGTGCAGACAGACATAGAAACCAACAGCAGGACATAAATGGGATATTAATGAAATAAATGTTCATTATTGGAAGAATACCTGCCACTTCATATTTGTTTGCAAAGTAACAACAAAGTAAATTCTGGAACTTAAAGATACCCATAAATAGATGAAGCTGTGTAACATGTTGTTACTGAGTTTATTGGTTAGCTATTGCTACAATAGTGTTGCATAACACCATCTCAAAACTCCATGATTTAAAACAACTAATTATCATGCATGTGTCTCCAGGTAAGCTGGGGTTCAACTGGTCTAGGTAGGAGTTACCCAGAAGGCTTGGCTTCTCATGTCTCTGCTATACATGGCTCTCATCCTCCACCTGTGATGAGTGGTGGGCTAGGTGGGCATGTTCTTTTGGTGATGGCTGATAGCAAAAAAAGTGCAAAAAGAACAAGTGAAATACTGTTGTTCATAATAATCTCTAATGACTCACTGTATTTCAGTGTTCTCGGTTGTTGTCTCCTTTTTTACTCCTGATGTTACTTATTTGGGTCTTCTATTTTTTCTAAGTCTAACCAAAAATTTGTGAATTTTGTTTATATTTTTAATAAACAAACTTTTTGTTTCACCTTTTGGTTTTTTTGGGTCTCTGTTTTGTTTTGTTTTTTGAGACAGAGTCTCACTCTGTCACCCGGGCTGGAGTGCAGACACAGCCTCGGCTCACTGCAACCTCTTTCTCCTGGATTCAAGCAATTTTCCTGTCTCAGCCTCCCTAGTAGCTGGGATTAAAGGCATGCACCACCATACCCAGCTAATTTTTATATTTTTAGTAAAGACTGGGTTTCACCAGATTGGCCAGGCTGGTGTCGAATTCCTGACCTCAAGTGATCCACCCACCTTGGCCTGCCAAAGTGCTGGGATTACAGGTGTGAGGCACCACCACTGACCTTGTATTGTTTTTAAAGTCTCAGTTTCATTTATTTCTGCTCTGATCTTTATTATTATTTTCCTTCTACTAATTGGTTTGTTCTTGCTTCTCTAATTCCTTGAGGTGCACCATTAGGTTGTTAATTTTGAAATCTTTCTACTTTTTTAATATAGGTGTCTATTGCTATAAACTTCCTTTTTAGTTGTATCCCATAGATACAACTTTTTGTTGTATCTTTTGTTGTATCCCATAGATTTTGTTGTATCCCATAGATTTTGGTGTGTTGTATTTCCATTTTCATTTGTTTAAAAAAATTTAAATTTCATTCGTAATTATTTCATTGACCCATTGGCTGTTCAGGAGCATGCTGTTTAATTTCCAAGGTTGTGTATTTTCCAAGATTCCATCTATAGCCATATCACCCCAAACGCATCTAATCTTGTCTGTATTTTCCAAGGTCCCTCTGGTTTTTTGATGGCTAATTTTATTCCATTGTGGTCAGAGATAATACTTGATATATATTTTTAAAAAAATTTGTACAGGCTTGTTTTGTGGCTTAACATGTGGTCTCTTCTGGAAAATGTTCCATGTGGTGATGAAAAGAAAGCGTATTCTGCAGCAGTTGCATGAAGTGTTCTGTAAATGTCAATTAGGCCTATTAGATCTAATGTGTAGTTTAACTCTGCTGTTTCTTTGTTATCTGTCTGGATGATCTGCCTGTAACTAAGAGTGGGCTGTTAAAGCCCTATACTACTATTATATTGCAGTCTATCTCCCCGTTTAGGTCTATTAATGTTGGCTTTATATATTTGGGATCTTTGGTGTTGAGTGCATAAATATTTATATAATTATGATATTCTCTTGCTAAATTGACCCCTTTATCAATATATAGTAAATTTGTCTCTTTATAATCATAGATTTGTAATCTGTTTATATATATGATATGAATCTAGTTACTCCTCTCTTTTATGGTTTCCATTTGCAGGGAATATCTTTTTCTGATCCTTCACATTTAGTCTACATATGTGGGTTTCTTGAGGCAACATGTAGTTAGGTCTTGTTTCTTTATCCATTCAGCTATTCTTTGCTTTTTCAATGGAGAATTGACACATTTACATTCAGTGTTATTATTGATAATTAAGGAGTTATATAAGGTATATACTTATTACTTATACCAATATGTGTTATATTGATAAGTAATAAGTAACTACTATCATTTTATTGCTGGTTTTCTGATGGTTTTGAGACTTTCCTCTTCTTCCCTTTCTTATTGTCTTCCTTTGTAGTTATTATCTCTGATAGTATGTTTTAAATTGTTACTGTTATTTTTAGTGAATCTATTTCAGATTTTTGCATTGTGGTTGCGATGGGGCTTACAAAAAACATTTTAAAGACATAACAAGTTATTTTAAAGAGATGGCAACTTATCTTAGAACACCAAAGAATAGAAATAAGCAAAGGCAAAAAATCTACAATCTAACCTCATTTCCACTACATTTTGATTTTCAGTTTTCTCAATTTACATTCTTAAAATTACCTCTTAACAGGTTGCTGTAACTATGATATTTTTAATATATTTTGTCTTTTGTGCTTAATACCAGAGTTATGGGTGGATTATACACCATAAATATAGTAATAGGGTATTTTGGGTTTGCTCATGTACTTAATTTTACCAGTGGGTTCATACCTTGAAACGTACTCCCTTTAGCATTTCTTGCAAGATGAGTCTGGTGGTGCTGAATTCTCTCAGCTTCTGTTTGTCTGTGAAGGACTTTATCCATCATATTTGAATAACAGTTTTGCTGGCTATGATGTTCTGAGGTTGCAGTTTTTTTTAATTTGAGCACTACCATATGAATCAGTAATTGGATATTTATTCAAAGGAAGAGAAATCCATATATTAAAGGTATATCTGGACTCTAATCTTTATTGCAGCACTATTCACAATAGCAAAGATACAGAATCAACCTAAATGTCCATTAACACATGAATAGATACAGAAAATATTATATATAGACACATATGTGTGTGTGTGTGTGTGTGTGTGTGTGTGTGTGTGTGTGTATATATATCTGTGTCATAGGTAGATGAAAGTTGAATTATATAAGAAAAATTCAAATGTTTTCCATAATTGGCATATCATTTTATAGCTACCTCAGATATGTATGAGAGTTCTATTCAGTCCATATCTTTACCAATATTTAGATGAATCAGCCATTCAGCTGTCTACTGGTTTGCAGTGTTCTGATGAGAAGTCAGTCATAATTCCTGTAGCTGTTTCTTTGTATATAATGTTTCTGTTTTCCCCTGTCTGTTTTTAAGATTTTCTCTTTCTTTTTGGTTTCCAGCAGTTGACTATAACATGCCTATGTGTGTTTTTCTTCTTTCTACTTGTAGTTTGTTAAGCTTTTGGATCAATGTATTGATAATTTTTTATAAAATTTGTAAAATATAAATTTTGGTTGTCATGTTTAAAATATGTTCTATTTTTTCTTTCTCTTTTTTCTTTATTGAACTCCAAATACAAGCGTGCTAAACTTCTTGATAATTCCAGGAAGTTACAGATGGCCTGTTTACTTTTTCCTTTTTTTTTTTTTTAAACTGTGTCCTTCAGTTTGATGTTTTATATTGATCCATCTTTGAGTTCATTGAATCTTTCTTTTACAATTTACTTGAAGACCCATTCAACAAATTTTTATTTTCAAATATTATAATTTTAACTTTTAGAATTTTAATCAATTTTTTTTATTTTACAACTTCCAATTCTCTCCCACAATAGTTCATCTCTTTATCCATTTTTTCCTATAAATTACTTAATATATTTTTCACAGTTATGTTTAATTCTGGACCTGCCTAATCTAATACCCGGAAATTTCTAGCTCAATTTATATTGACTTTTTTTCTTGGTGATGGGACATGTTTTCCTGCTTCATCACATATCTTCTAATCTTTTATTGTATTATGAATATGGTGTATAAAATAATACTATAAAAATTTAATTTGTTTTGGTTCTTTGACAGTGAATGCAAGCCACTGCCCCTGTTTGAAAGTTAAGGGAAGGTACTGGCATTCAGAATCTTTATAATCAAATTGAGCCTGTGCTACATCACAGCATTGACTTTACCTGTGATCAGCCTGCTTCATTTTTTCAGTATCACTAGTCTCTTTTTTATCTTGCTTTATATTCCAAATGAGAGAAAGTTGAGATGCAATTTAAAATATTTTTAGTTCACCTTTGGATTCAATTTGGTCAGGGCTTCAAAATAGAAGCAACACAAAAATATGTTATTTCTTTCTGTTTATCAGCTTCTCTTTCATGGCTGAATTCTTGATAATATTCAGACAGAGAAACTTATTGGCTGAAAAATTTGTTTTTTGCTTGGAATCTTCCAGATTCAAATATCTCCTGCCATCACTGTGTCATCTAAAGCTTATCTGTTTTCTTTTTAACCCTGCCGAGTCTCTTCATCAACATCAGGCCTACACCTCCACCCACTCGTATCCAGACCAGGAGCTGTTCCCTAGGTAGAGAAGTTGCCATGGTACTCTAACTAGGAAGCACTTGTTTTTCTTTGGAATTCAGTTCATCAAGGCTTTATTATATCTACAATTCCTTTTTCGCCCCTTAGAAAATAAGGTTTACTTATCCATTTTGTCAATTTTGTTGTTTTTACCATGATTTGAAAAGATTTTTTAGCTCTTCTTCATATAAACTGGAAGTGGAAGCCAGATAAATATTCATCATTAAATTTCTATTCATGGTTTTATATTCTTTTCCATAAAAGTTCCCCCAATTTGCCTAATCTTTAGGGCTCACATATCTAGATCTGCCCTGAATAAACTAAAACACTTTTTTCAGAGTAGAGTTTTTAAAACCAAGGAGACAGCAAGATAGACATAAGATAAATATTACATGGGATCTGAATAAAATAGTTTTTTTCTCCGTTATCTTTTACTTTTTCCTTGCCACCTTCTACTCCTTTCTCTTTACACAGGAAACAGAAATAGAGATGAGGATAAAATGTCCTAACAACACAGTAGGCTCAGAAAGCAAGGATGAGACTATGTTGGAGGCAAGAAATTTGGATGGACATTAGAGAAAGAAAAAACAATTTTGAAGTATATTTATATTTGACATTATAAGTTAAGCCTCTAGAAAATTTCAATGTCAAAATTAAATTTATACATCAAATTGGCCATATTTCATTTTGAAATAAAAATGGCGAGATGGGAAGAGGGTGCAGGCATCCTGTGGCAAGTTTGGTATTAAAGAGGAGTGAAGAGAGAAAGGTAAGACTGTGGTAAAGGGGCAAGTTAAGAAGGAAAATTCATTGAAAAGTCCTACCCCGCACCCACATCACCATTTTGATCTTATAACTAATTCTTCTTTGCCTCTCTTATCTCCTAGCATGAAGAATTTGCTTAAAGTTATAACCAATGCTGCTCAGCACATTTCTTCATTTCCACACCTTCACTCCTCACATTGCTCCCCACCCCACCCCACACACAACTGAAAATCAATTTACAGGTCTCTTCAACTCTCCCTGATGGGCCCAAGCTGCATACTGAATATTTCTGGCTTACTGATTTTCAAAGGTTTTTGGATGATATTAACAAATAGGAGATCATAATATATATGAAACTCAACTAGATTTTGACTTAATCAGCCCAAATCCCTATGTGTTTCTATTGTAATTCTTCCCTCCAGCATAAAGAATTCCCCTGCTTCTAACAAATCTTTGCAGCAGGTCTGCAGCATCACAAGCTTTAGATATCTTCTGATATAATTTTAAAATCTTCTGAGCTATGAATGGTCCCTGGCAACTCTCTGACAAACAATCATTTTAGTTCTGACAATCTATGGATAGCCGAAGCTGCACAGATCAAAATAAGAATATGGGACGTCCTTAGATATCCCAGCAAACTCTAAAGGGGAAATGAATGTTCTATCCTGAGGCACCACAATGGATTAGAAGGTTTTATCTAGCTGAGAGTGATGGTAAATAGAGCCATTCACATTGGGGGTATTGCTCAAATATATTTTAACACTTTGATCTATTTCTTTGCCCTATAGTAGTTTAGGTAGGCTTCCCAATTCTGCTCACAGTCTAAGTGTTTTGTTACTAAAAAATTTTCTCTGGAATTGAAATACCAAGACTGAGACTTACCTATTCATATTAGGGCCTTGAACCTTTTTGTAGGGAATGTAGCTGACTGCAAATGGCCCTATATCCATGAAAGGCAATCTGTAGAGAATGTGTCAAAGGTACAAAGTGAGTTGTCTTCTTTTCTTTTTCTTTTTGTTTCTTATTTCTTGTTGTCTTATTTTTGTCTTTTTGTTTTCTGCAAAACACTGTAGAAATTAAAGACATTAGATTATAGTGAACAGCTTCTGTAGTGGTCATTTGCTGTCTCTTTGGCAACCTTCTCCTTTTCCTTCTGGTCATAGGGATCTGGATTTTCTTTTAAAGAATTACCTCTCCACCACTTTTTGTAGTCTTTGTGAAGCTGTCAATCAAGGTACACTGACCTCCCCTAGGGACAAGTGTCATTCATTGTAGGCTATCTGGACATCTGGACTTTGAGTCTTGAGTCAATGGATGAAAGAATAAGAAAACAAAAACCTTTTGGAGATGTTGCTTGTCATCAGCAGCATGTTGTTAGAACTGTCACTCTACTTTGCAATCCAATTTCCCTAAGCTGTACTTGTTCCCATCGTGCTGAGACTGGTTCTCCCAAGTCCTGTCACTGATTGTGGTGCCATCCCCTAGTCTTCTGATAAATTCTCTTTTGGTTAAATTACCCAGGGTCTGTTTGTATTGTTTGCAATCAAAGAAATTCAACTAATAGAAATGTTCCAAGTTAGTCAGATGGTAGATGATTTTTATGAGTAGTTAGCCATTCCATAATATGCTTCTGTGTTTCTAATAATATACACATTTATTTTAATATTTTGATTGAAGTCCTGAAAGAGCCATTTCTATAAGTCAATACTTTGTAAGACTGCAGCAAGATGTAAAAGATTTATTCAGGAAACAATCTTAAGCAACAACAGCAATCTTCTTTGCAGAAAAAATGATGGATCAGTAAGGCAGTGCAATTCTAGTGTCCCTAAATCCAGATGGGTTTAGAACGGGGATTGCAAACTGAAATATCTGTAGGAAATGAGCAATGATGCAAACGGATGAGTCATCTGGGATACTTCTCACTTTCATTAAGAATTATAATCTAGCTGATTTTTCTTCTTCAGCCTCTTTGGTTTCTCCTTTCGGTTTCCACCTCTGATAGAGACATGTGCCAAAGACATATTGCTCCACTAAGGAAAACACCAGTGCCAGTGCAATGACAGGTAACAACTGAAACTCGCCATTGTTCTCAAAGAAACAATAGAAATCATGAGGACTCAGAGCTGAAGAATATATGCCCTTTAAATGAGGCAACACTCCTCAGCTCTGGACAATCACCGCTTGTCAGACGGCTGGCTCAGTATTGCCTATATCTTCTGATGTTTTCTAAAGTAGTCAGAAATATTAATGTTTTTATTAAATGTATAATAATCTATTTATTACATATTGGCAGTTAATTCAATTAAAAGTATATTGGGTGAGCCCAGGAAAAAAAATATACATTCTGCTCTTGACCTACATGAGAAGCTGGGCTGTGATATTTGATATGGATTTGAGGCATGGCAAACACTTATTAAGCACACCACTTCAGCAAAGGAAAATTTATTTAAAAAATCAAACTCTTAAGCCAGAACAAGCTACCACAGCATAAAATAAATTCCCAGGGGTGGCCTAATGGGATCCTGCAGGACCCAGCAAGTGATGGAAGATAAGTTAGAGAAGGAAAACTCTTGTGTTGCCAGTAGCTCAGGAGGGTATGTCGATACACTTTGCTTGGCCAGAGAGGCATGTCGTACCTGGCTTGATATGTTGTTCCAGTCACCTCTTATATGTAGAAACGGACTAAAGAAAATCCATTATTGACACTTGAAATTTGTGCAACTTACTCATTTCAGATCTTAAGTGCTCCAAAAAAAAAAAGAATGTTGTGTCTGTGTCAAGTTGCCTTTATGCTATTGTGTTTTACTATATGCATTACCTTAAAAAAAATGAACCGCTCTTTGCCACTAAGCATCTTCAAACTTAGAAGAGAATAAGATTGACATTACTGTTCAGATCCATTAGTCAAACTACCGTGGCTTTGGACAGGTAGTTTCCAAAATACATCAGCCTCATTTACACCCAACAGCAACAAAAGACATTGGATATTTTTCTGCTGTGATGCAAGGTACAAAGATACTAAGGCAGAAAGTTGTTTTGATATACATTGCTTTTAGGAAAAGGATTGGAAGTGGAAGGTGAAATGACAAAATACAAAGGTGAAATGACAAAATACATATCTATATCCTAATGATTATAGAGAAGAAAAAAACAATTTTACCTAGGAGCTAGATTAAAATCAATGAAAGAACAAAAGGATACAGCAAGAAATCAACCAGTATGATAACCAGGGATGTTCCCCCGCCCCAAAATAATACCACTTAGTTTTTAGTGTGTCTAAGTAGAAGCTGTTTATTCTTGAAAATCATTGTTCCCATAAATGCCACTACACTGTTTTTATATTTTATTAATTCTACATGATCACTTTCTTGTACCCCAGGTATTCTACATATCTGCATTTACAATGAACGTAATTAATTTGGATTCTGGAAATAAAGGCATTTATAAACTTGACTTTCCCTGCCCACTGAGACACTGAAGCAGTGTAATACACATATGACATCTGATGTATGTCTTATATTTTTTTAATCTGGATTGATCTTATTTTCTCAAGCTTCTATTATTGGGGTGAAATATGACATCTCTATGAGAGTAAGTCTGATTTCTTATTAATAAAGAAAAATTAGATTCATTATTTGAGCAAATAATTGTAATGTGGCAGGCATTTTCTTCATTATGTTATTTAAATTGTATTTCTCACATCAAAATATCAGTGAAATCATGACACGTCACTTCTTTTACATTTGAGAAAACTGTCATATGAAGAATTTAAATCATTGGCTCAATATCGCACGTTTTACAGGTGGAACAGTCAGAATTTTAGTTCTGCTAGATTCTAAATTGTGCATTTTTCACTTAGCTATACCAACCTAAGGCAGAATGAGTAAGACCTGACCTATAAGAGGGGAATTATTCTAAATATAGTAGTTACTGTTTAAACATTTATGGTAGCACAAGGCTAAGGAAAGCAGGCCATAGGCCGTGTCATGAGATTTCCACTGTAAAAGCATGTACATGCCAGGAACTTAAGAGCAAGGAGTGCTTTCTGTGTGTGCTTCCATCTCCACCCCGCAATGGACCCCTCATAGTGGTCTCTTAACAGAAGCAGGCTGGTGAAGGTGTCCTGTCAAACATCAGCACCATGAAATATGAAGACTTTGGGGAGACTACGATAATAATTCAGTAGTGGCTTTAGAATATCTAGAAAAGAAGATCCTGAGGTGGCAATCTGGTAAGGAAGGGCAACCAGGGAATTTGTCTTGGATCTAAACTTGCATAAAGGAACTTCTGTTTACTGTGTGTTGATGTGAAGTCATTTCGAAGCTGATGGAAATCAAGAAGAGCTTAAAAGCTTCAGAACCTATCTTCCCACATCAATAACCTGAAAAAAAGAGCACTGGCTGGGGAGAATCCCAGGACAAGGGTAAGGGGTGACAGACACATGATGATTTGGAGATGGTTTTCAGAGGTGTAGTAAGGAGTGTAGACTGATTTTAGAAGAAGGATAAAGCAGTTATTGTGAGAGGAAGGCCTTTTAAAAAAAGAAATCAATCAATAAAAATATCTCAGATATTTGATGCCCTCATTGTCTCCCAAAGGGATTAAGCATATTTTCTCTGGGTTAAAAGTTTTTGTTTAAAAAAAGAGCTATTTCACCACAGATTTCAAAAAACTTCGGAGGAGAGTTAACAAATAGGAGGAGAGCTCTGAAGGCTCATGCACATTTGCATGCCACCACTGCTCAGTGTTACAAGAATCCAGCTCAACTCCTTACACCTTACTCAGGAAGTATCTTTATTCCTCCTGACAGCAGGATTAATGGCTATGCTCAGAAGAAAACCAACTGTCAAAAAAAGTTTACTTCTTATAGTTGTCCTCTCTTTCTTTGTGCTGTGTAAGCTTTTTTTTTTCTAGTTTAGATGGTGTGTCATTCAGGGTTCTTCGTGGCAGACCAGAGAACCTGCTACTTTGCGCAGAAAGGGATTAATTAAAAGTACATAAGTGGCTCACAGAATATTTGGAGGGCTGAAAAAACAGATTCTAGCCTGAGCCTCCAGAAATACCCCCAGATGTCCACAATGGGTAATGGGCCCCAAAGATGCTGCTACTTCTGCCACACTGGAAACTACTATAACAGCTGCCAACACCAGAACCATCTTGCCCCCTATCTTATTTATTTGTTTTTGTTTAACAAAGTAGATAGCTTATATTCTTGCTATATTATCAAACAACACCACTAGTAATTACAGCTAATGTTTACTGGAGAAATTCTATGGAATGAAAAAAAAATTTTGTATTAAGAAATCTGAGGAGAAATTAAAAAGTAATTTTAATCTCTTGATTTAATGCAGCCATGTGGCTAGAGAGATGTTACCTCTTCAGCATCTGGACATGTTCTGAGACTATTGCATCTTCTTATACCCTTTACAATCTCATTGAGCATATAGCACATAATCAAAGTAAACCAAGATAACTAGCATGTGGCATCAGGGCTGATGGGTTAAGGGGTGGCCTATGCAGATCTGTCCATGGCAAGAAGTGATAGAGACTGTGGTTCTGTGGCACCAACCATAGCCTCTGCTCCTATCCTCAAACCTGGAGCACTTTTGGGCATCTACAGAACCTGCACGCGATACTTAAATAGACCTCACGGAGTCTTTGACTCAAGATTAGGAGCCATTGTCCTTTATTCAGTCTACCCAAATGAAAACTACCAACCATTTAATACCTTGGTTTTTCTTTTGTAGAGGTTTGTTATACACATTAGTGACAATTCTGACTTCAAATTTTTCCCATCAGTATAAGATTGTGGACCCATTTTTCGTTCTCCACAGATTTGTAAATTATTGTATAATGCAGAATTTTCTAGGATATACACAGGTGAGAACTGTCATGTCCTTGCAATAGTGGGTAGATAAAAAGGGAGAGATGATGATATTGACTAAAGGTTGGTAATAGGGTAATTTGAAAACTGAGTTAATAAGATGCTTGGAGATAGTTTGTGAATTTTAATTTACTGAGTTCTCTGTGTCCCCTTTTCTGGAAATAATTAAGAGTTGACAGTCCATGGAATTCTACAGCCTCTCCTATGGTGAATTGTATTCACCTAGAGTGACAAGTTATTGAGAGAAGAACAGACTATCAATAATGGTTTTATATTTTTAAAACAATAATTTCCTCTTACTCCAGACAGAAGCAACATGCTGTGCAAAATTATACATCATGTTACAGCAGCTGAGAAGACAACATATATCACATCAATGCTGCCTCTGTAAGAGCCAAAAAATTACCATATCTAACAATAATTTTTACTTTAACAGAAAGAACAGAGGACACAGAAAGAAACCAACTTATTCTTATAAATGGGTGGTTTAACACATAGTGAACAAATTGATGTATAAATTGGCTTTGATGAATTATTGTGTTAAATGTGGTTATTTATTATGAGTTCCATTACATAAATTGGTTGCAAAATTATAACAAGTGTTCTTTATTAATCTTACCTTCTCCATGGCTAGAGAATGACTCAAGGCAATTATCTTTCATAGACTTCAGCACTATTAGCGCTAATATACTGAGGAGGGCATACAAGTTCTAATAATACACAAAGAAAAGAAACATGCTTTCTCTTTGCTCCCTACATAGGGAGATGATATTTCTTATACAGTTTCCTTCATTCTCTATTAAATCCCTCTAGTTATTAGTTTGGGGTATTTTTGCAGTAATAGCTACCATAGGTATAAGAAGTATGTTATACATGTTTTTCATGGTATAACATTTAAATTTTAAACAGATGGCATATATCTAGTCTTGAGGAACTAAGAGTTTAATCAAGTTGACTCAGGTGCTTTAAGGCCATATTTGGCTACTTCATAGGAGGTTTAAGCATTTGCTCCAAGGTCCAGTGACAGATTGTAGAACCGTCTTAATGTTTTCCTCTTCAGCATGGGATATAAATAACGGGAAGATAGTGTCTTTCTGAGAAAGGAAAGGAAATATTTCTTCCAAGAATACTCTCATGACCTGACTTTCAGCCAGAATCAGAGATAAAGAGTTGTCTGAGTAGATAACCTATAGCCTCTTCCTAGTTATCAGAGGCCACTTTTTCGAGTTACGAGTTTTTCAGCTCTTTGCTTCTCATCTTCCTCTCTCCTATGGACATGATTTTGTCTTTCTAGTTCTCCTTACATCCCTAGCAAGGCAAAAACCAAAAAAGAAAGAAAAATAATTCATTCTGTTAACTATGTAACTCTGGCTAAAGACTCAATGTGGGATTAAATAATGTAAGTAAGGAGGTACTTAGAAATCATCACTATATAAAAGAATGTAACAAAACAGCACTGCAAATTTGTAGCCTGGAGAAATCAGTCAGATGATATGGCTGCATTTTTTATTATTGAATATTTATCACATATCACTGATTTGTGAGCTCCTCAGATAGGTGCTGGGTGCTGAAGGTGGGTAAAGGAGGGAGAAAGCCTACTGCACAAGCAATGCTAACCAGAAGCTTGATGCCCCAAAACATACCTCACATCTCTATGCCATGTCTTCATCACTGTATAAATGTGTATACAGTTTACAGTTAGGATTTACTGCAGCAACTAAAGAGAATATTCAGTATGACAGTAAATTAAACAAATTATAACTTTTTTTTCCTCCCAGGTGAATATCTATATAGGTAAACCAGTGTGATATGGTTTGGTTTTGTGTCCCCACCCAAATCTCATGTTGAATTGTAATCCCCACATGTCCAGGTAGGAACCTGATGGGAGGTGATTGGGTGATTAGGGTGGTTTGCCCCATGCTGTTCTCAAAATAGTGAGGGAGTTCTCACATGATCTGATGGTTTAAAAGCAGTAGTTTCCCCTGCATTCTCTCTCTCTCCTGCCACCATATAAGATGTGCCCTTGCTTCCCCTTTGCCTTCTGCCACAATTGTAAGTTTTCTGAGGCCTCCCCAGCCATGCAGAACTGGGAGTCAGTTAAACCTTTTTTCTTTATAAATTACCCAGTCTCAGGTATTCTTTATAGCACTATGAAAATGGACTAATACACAGTGCTTGTATGAGGCTCCTTCTATCTTATATTATCAGATGTGGCCTCTTTTCCCAAATTTACTTCATAGTGTAAGATAGTTGCATCAGTTCGAGATCTCTCACCTAAATTTGAGTCAGCAGGACAATGAAAGGGAAAGAGAAAAGTGTGCTCCCTCCCTTTAAAGACATTTGCGGAAGTTGCACAGACAACTCCCATGTACGTATAATTGGCCAGATCTAGTCATAAGAGAGGCCAGAAAATGGATTCTTGATTTCAACTTGTCACATGCCCAGCTAAATATTATATATTCTGGGATTTTCAGTTTCCGCTCAGGATGTAGAATGCTATAAAGAGTATCACTCCCATACTTTCAGTAACAACTACAACAGCAGCATCAGCAAAAACACCAAACAATCTGAAAATTTGTAAGTTTTCTTGGACCCAGCAGAGAACTGATGAGTACCAACTAACATGAAATCTAAGGAAAGTCAGGCACATCAAATAAGAGTCGAGACATGAGACCTTGCTTAACTGGGATAGACACTATTTATCACAGGTAAGAAGAATCGAGCTTAATTTTTAAATTACTTGCTAAAGGTCAACTGTGGGCTGAAAGGAGAATATAGAACCCCTGAAAGGCACAAAGACAGAAGAATTCACTCATCACAGACTTTTCTGTTCACACAGAAGATCAGTAAAAATCCTGAAAAATGTGTCCCTGCTGATGCAGGCCTGGGGCAGTGGGGCCACTGAGGAGAAAGCACAGATTACTCTCCCCTGTCTCTTCTATAAAACAAAGGCCTTAAACTTCTAGAAAGAGAGCAACAAAATCTGATGCTCTTAGTGCATTAATGAAAATGCAATGGGAGGGGAACAGCAACAATAAATCTCTATGCCCCTGAGGGAGGAATAGAAAAACTTGTTGGTCTCAGACCTACAGTTAGGAGTGAGACAAGATCACTTAGAATTACCTAACCCACAAGACTCAGAAAAACAATGCCAGGTGAACACTGAGACTTAAGCAAAACAACAGAGAATGCCCCAAACTACCCCCACACTTCTTCCCTCACCATTCTGAAAGCTTTGAGTGACAGTGGACTACTGCTTGAAGGGGAGCAAGAGCATGCAGAGAGACCCTATTGGAGGCATAGAGGGCCTTTTGGGAAGGCCCAAAATTGAGGGTGGAACAGACACTTCCTCTTTCAGAAAAAGCCCTCTAGCAAACCAGCACACATGATGAATAGAAGGTAACACTAGATGATTTGGAAATTATACAAACACATGGAAATTAAACAATATGCTCCTGAATGACCAGTGGGTCAACGAAGAGATAAAATAGGAAATGAAAAAATTTTCTTGAAACAAACAGTTGTGACCCAACAGACGCAAACCTATGGGATACAGTCAAGGCAGTACTAACAGTAAAGTTTATAGCTGTAAGTGTCTACAAAAGCTGTTGATGGGAATGGAAATTAGTACAACCACTATGGAGAACAGCTTGGAAGTTCCTCAAAAAACTAAAAACAGAATTCTATTGGTAGGTATATAACCAAAGGAAAGGAAATCAGTATATTGATAAGAAATCTGCACTCTCATGTTTACTGCAGCACTATTCACAATAGCCAAGATTTGGAGGAAACCTAAGTGGTCAACAACAGATGATTTCATAAAGGAAACTTGGTGCATATACACAATGGAGTACCATGTAGACATAAAAAGAATGAGATCTTGATATTTGCAACTGCATAGATGCAATTGGAGGTTATTATGTTAAGTGAAATAAGCCAAACACAGAAAGACACAAAACTTCACATGTTCTCATTTATTTGTGGAAGCTAGAAGTTAAAACAATTGAACTTATGGAGAAAGAGAGTAGAATGATGATTACCAAAGGCTGGGAAGGTTTTGGGTGGGGAGGGAAGTGGCAATAAAGATGGTTAATGAGTGCAAAAATACATTTAAATATAATTAATAAGATCTAGTATTTCATAGCACCACATGGTGACTACAGTCAACAATAATTTATTTTCCTTTTTTTTTTTTTTTTTTGAGATGAAGTTTCACTCTTGTCACCTAGGCTGGAGTGCAGTGGCGTGATTGTGGCCCGCTGCAACCTCTGCCTCCCGGGTTCAAGTGATTCTTCTGCCTCAGTGTCCCAAGTAGCTGGGATTACAGGTGCCCGCCTACCATGCCTGGCTAATTTTTGTATTTTTAGTAGAGATGGGGTTTCACCATGTTGGTGAGGCTGCTCAGAAACTCCTGACCTCAGGTGATCCACCCACCACGGCCTCTCAAAATGCTAGGATTACAGTCATCAGCCACTGCACCCAGCCTATTTTACATTTTAAAATAACCTAAGAGTATAATTGGATTGTATGTAAGACAAAGAAAGGATAAATGGTTGAGGTTATGGATTTAAAAAGTTGTATTGGATTAAAAGGCAAGTTTCAATTATATGCTATCTATAGTTAGTCAATTTTAATTATAAAAACATAGGCTAAAAATAAAAGAGATGAAAAAGGATATACTATGCAAATACTAAGCAAAAGAAAGCTAAAGTAGCTATATTAATATCAGCAGAGAAAGGAATATTATGCAGGATAGAGAGGTATATTACATGATGATGAAGAGGTCAATTCTTCAAGGACAATTTAATGTTTATGCACCTAACAGCAAAATTACAAAATACATAAAATCTGATCAAACTAAAATTAAAAGAAAAATCTAAAATTATTGTTGGATACATCAACACTTTTCTCTCAGCATTTGATAGAACAAGTAGACAGAAAATCTGTAAAGATGTGGAAGACTTGAACAATACTATCAACTAACTTCACCTAATTGACATTTCTAGAACATTCTACTCAATTACAGCAGAATACACAAGTGTACATGTCTATTCCCCCAACATATTATACTCTGTACTATAAGACAAACATCAATAAATTTAAAATAATTGAAATTATTCAGTGTTCTGACACAGTAACAGAATTAAATTAGTAGTCAATGAGAGAGAACTATCTAGAAAATCACCAAATTCATGAACATTAAGTGACTCACTTTTAAATATTAGGTATTGCATTATTATTGTCAGAAAGAAAATGAGATATTGTGGGACAACAAGCAATATCTCTCCTAGATATAGACATACAAATAGAGTGTTATGCTGACCAAGGGACTCCATGTTAGGTCATTGAAAGGTTTAAATTGTTGTTACTGACTGACTGTTCATGTCCCTTGAAATTCATATTTTGAATCCCTAACCCACAATATGGTGGTATTTGGAGGTGGAACCTTTGGGAGATAGGTTTATATGAGGTCATGAAGTAGGGCCCTCATGATGTCATTAATATCCTTATAAGAAGATTAAGAGAGTCCAGAGGTCATTCTCTCTCCATCATGTGACGACACAGTGAAAATGCAGCTATCTGCAGCCAGTAAGAGAGCCTTACACAGGAATGTAATTGTCAGGCACCTTGATCTTGGACTTCTCAGTCTCCATTACTGTGAGAAATAAATTTCCATTGTTTAAACCAGCCAGCCTATGATATTTTGTCATAACAGCCTGAACTGACTAACAAATCAGTGCATATTACCAAATTGGAGGGAGTCACCAGCTCAATTTTTTTCCTTCTACCAAATCATTTTTATCCGTTTACCAAGATGCTTGATTTCTTAGGCTTGCCTTGTTCCTTTTGCTCATTGGCTCCTTTTACCAAGGTTTTGACTCAGGTCTATTTATTCACTCTTCTCCTTCCTCCCATACCTCCTTGTGCTCTTTTGGGAGGCAGGAGACTGGGAGAGCAATTAAGGCACCAAATTGACAAAATTGTTAGCAACCCCAAGTTGATCATGCCACCTGGAAAGAATGGTCCCTGCTACCTTTCAGTATCAGAAGTAATAAAACTTCTGCAATAGCAATACCATTAGAATAGTCTAGAAGAGTGGAAATAACTAGTAGAACATACAAAGAAATATGAGCTCTCCATTTCTCTAGTTAGGGTAACAATGCATATGCCATATGATGCATATGTAGGAGATACAATGTCATGTACCAAGCTCAGTTTATCAGTAAGCCTGCAGACTCTGCATGTTTCTTATCTATTCACTAAGCACCTCGCTATTTGATTTATTACTCTACCCCTGTCCAAACTGCTGTATAGTCCAGCTCAGTAATTTTCATTCTTCTGTTTTTACAAGTGGAGTACTATTTGTACACTTTTATCTTGACTTGATCTCTAAATATCTTTATGGTCAAGACACGTTCTTCCTCTGAATGAAACAATCTAATTATACTGAATCAATAGATTCTATTTTTATTAAGAAAATACGATATGTACAATATTCTTAAATATGCTTTAGTCCATAACTACAACTTTCCATCCCAAATCCTTTAACTAACTTCATTCTTATTACTTAACCTATGATCCAATCTTACTTCAGCATGCTATATTTCCTGTCCAATTAATATTACCTATTCCCTTTATATTATTTGAGTAATATTTTCTGTTACATGATAAATTCTATAAGGATATGGAAAATCACTCATTTTTGCTCATTTTATCCTCAGTTCTTGACACATCGGCTCAATAAATATTTATTGCATGAGGGAATAAATGAATTAATGAATGCAGGATATGGATATGTCCCACAGAGGTTTCTCTCTCTCTCTCTCTCTCTCACACACACACACACACACACACACACACACACACATTCAAACGGGAGCCTCAGACTTCTTTGCTAATAGACATGTACCAGCATTTCTCCAGCAGTGTTTGACAGAGTTATCTCATCTTATTCATTAGATATGCCATGCTTATTAGCCTCAGGACATACTTACAAGCTATGCAGCAAAAAGGCCATCCCTGCCATGATAGTTTATTGCCAAACAGAGGGAATAAAATAAAGCAAGCAGCTAGTGCTACACATATACGAACTAATAAACAAACAAAAGGTCTAAACCACTGTGGCATCATTGTGACAGCAGTGTCTTGAAGAAACCCCACTGGTTCTAACTCCGGTCAGAGGCAATGAATGCCTAGAGTGTGTGTATTATAATGGAACTGGGAGGAAATGGTGCCAGTTCTTTGAAACTTGTTAACATGCAAATGATAGATGAATCTTCCCAAAGGTGAGCACTGTCAGCACACGTTCTCTGCTTTAGTCAGGGACGTGGCTTTTTGTGCTATCACGCTATAATCACCAAAGTACCATTTTTACCAAAATATCAAATGATCAGAACCATGTATTTTAAAAGGAATTCAGAGTTGTGAGGCCAACAGAGTAGGTAAGTTTGTTCATGTTATACAAAAGCAGGTTCTGATATTCAATGGATTCTTATTTTGGCTTTTCTATGACTTACAGGTAAGGCACTCACAAGAGAATATTTCAATTACTCTCTTGGCCACTCCTCATCACCCATCATACGATCCTATCTACTTCGTCATTTTCCTTAGTGCCCATAAAAAGACATGCTGAAGTTGTAAAGAGAATGCAAGAGAGATCAATAGCCTCTGATGTGTTGGACTCAGCTCAGATTTTCCCATGTAAAAGATCTGATTTTCGGCTGGACTGCGACACCATGCCAAGGTTGGTCTATCTCCAGAGATGGTGATAAAGGGTCACTTTATATTGTGTAAGAAGCGGCAGATTGTGACTTGTCCTCCAAATCTTTTCACTGGCAGGGAGTAGAGAAAATTGTTTTGGCCAAGTATCTGACCATTCTCTTCTGTGAGGTACGACTCCTGCAGTGAGATTGTATCAGTCAAACCTTATAATTCCCATTCTTCTCTTCTGATGTTTGATAGAGAAATAACACTCATGGAATGTGGGAGAGGGCAGTAGCTAGGAAAGTGAGGGAAAGAGGGTGGTTTAGACATAAAAAGCTCAATTGGTTATGGGTGTAGTGAGAGAAGATATAGCCACATTTTATTTCCTGGTATACCCCAAAGTCAGGAGGTAAAATTCTGCAGAATTCAGTCCTTCTCTCTCACAGGATGATCCGTTCTCTGACAGACACACATATGTACCAGAATTGTCAATGTTTTGGGGGAAGAGAGTAGTGCCGTCACAGAGGACTCTTATTCTGCACATGATATAGGCAGACCTGACTTCTTGCTCTTCATGTTTGTTGACATTTTATTAAGAATTTCACCGTAGCAAAGAAACGAATGAATCTGAGCTCTGAGCAGTGACAGCCAATGGGCCATTTATTTCTAGTGTCTGTGTTTTCCCAAGCTCCAGTGGAAACATGGTAATCTTCATACCTGTCTGATATTGGCATCTAGAAAAGAGCTTGATCTTGCTCAATTTACAGTATATTCAGTCCTTTGAAAGGCTTATTCTAATGCAAGGTCGTGCAATAAGTTTGTGTGCAATTGATGGTGAATTTTTATGTCAGCTGAGATTTATGTCAGAATCCAATGCAATTGTTAGAACAAACAACTTTACTTTGATTTCAACACAAATTTTTCACCGAGGTTTATCAAGTGTCTTGAATCTGTTTCAAAAGAGAATTTTCTCAAATTCTTTATCCTCTGGCCATGAATGTGTGAGTTCTTTGCTCAGCCACGCATTAATTTGGTTTTTGCCAGTGTTAGGAAAAGTATGCAACCCCAATCTATCTGTTCATATCTCAGCCTCCTAGGTTTCTTAAAAATTTTGTTTAATGTTTCCAATGGTAAATACGCCTCTGCTTAGAGACTTCTTTCCTTTTTGTTTTTGTTTTGTTTTGTTTGTTTGTTTGAGATGGAATCTTACTCTGTCATCCAGGCTGAAGTGCAGTAGTGCGATCTCGGCTCACTGCAGCCTCCGCCTCCTAGGTTCAAGAGATTTTCCTGCCTCAGCCTCCCAAGTAGCAGTGATAACAGGCATGTGCCAACTTGACCAGCTAATTTTTGCACTTTTAGTAGAGACGGGGTTTCACCATGTTGGCCAGGCCGGTCTTGAACTCCTAACTTCAGATGATCCACCTGCCTCGGCTTCCCAAAGTGCTGGGATTACAGGCATGAGCCACTGCACCCGGCCCCAAGACAACTTCTTTCATCTCCACTATTTTTCTCTCCTCCAACACAAGTAATCTTGCACCATCCTCTAACTCACATGAAAGTACCCAGCCTAAATGACTGTCATCCTTAAAATACCTTGCTCATCTTTCCTGCATCAGTAGTTTTCTGCCTCTGCCTGCCCCCACCCCGATTCTGCATGTACTGCTTTACCTATCACTGCTTAAGAGTCTTGGGTTCTATGTATTTTTATTTTCCTTGAACAATACTGCTATTTATATGGCCTTCAACCCTTTTGTATGAGATCCCCCTTCTATGGGATTAGGGCCAGGCAGGGAAATAAAGAAGCTTCCTGGATTGGGAAGATGTGATTGAAAGATGTAGCAACTCTTGCCCATATGCATAGTGCATGAAGCAAGTGATATAGGAGTTAAAAAAGAAATTACTTAGGCAGATAGTGAGGGTACGAAAGTCCTTGGTAAGGTTTTCCTTTTAATAAAAAGCAACCCCCAAATCATTTTCTTTTCTGACAAAAAGCAGCCTGTAAAATCGAGCCTCAGACATAGACAAGCAAACTGGAAGCTTGTACAGGCGAATGCCAGCAGTTGTGCCGATAGGAATATACTACCTGGGACTAGGTATGTTCAAAATGGTGGCTCAATCTTCTCTTTTTTGCCAGCCGCGTGCACAGTAAGGCACAGACAAGATGGTGCTGGCCAAGTGGAAAGCCCACTTGTATAATAAGTTTAGGATCGGGTGACCAGCCTTCCCAGTACATTCTATAAATGTCACAACTGGTCGGACCAACCTGTGGGCCCTATGTAAATCAGACACAGCCTCCCGAAGCCTGCCAATAAAATCTGCTGCGGTCTGCCACATTTCCCTTTTCAGACGCCTCTCTTGTGCACCCGTGAGAGAGCTGCTCTCCTCTCTCCTTTCTTTTACAGATTAAACTTTCCGCTCCTTAACTCACACACATGTGTTCGTGTCTTCAATCCTCTTGGCACTAGATGATGAGCCCTGGGTATTTACCCCAGACAGTGATGCCACTTCACAAGGAAACAGATGTTAAAGCCCTTCTCAGAGAATTTTCCAAGAGTAAAGCTGGTGATGGATAGCCAAACATTAATCAGCGAAAAGGAGTTTGACCTATAGAGCCAAGGAGAAGTTGGACAAAGAACGTGAAAAGGACAACAGGCAAATCCAATCCAGTGAATGAGAGCTCAATGAGAATCTTCAAAGGACCACAGTATGCTGTACAATTTTTTTTAAAAACATCTAGAAGGGTATTTTCATGGATTGATTTTTATGGATTTTTATAAATATTTTTCATTGGTTAATGGAAGCCATCCATAAAATGAATAATATTTAATCTATTCTTTCCACTTCAATGGAATGTTAGATAAATAAAATCACCATTGACTGGTGAGTTTAAGGTGGATCTGTAAACATTTTTCAAAAAGAAGAAAAAAAAGTCGTAGTTTATTTTTTTCAGAAGCCTACAGTGAAGTCTATGGGCATATGGGAATCAGAAAACATAACTAAATAAAATTTTCTCTATGATATCTAATCTTTCCTTTACAATTCTCTCTCTCTGAACTTCCCTTTGAATGTGATTGTGATTGGATTTGCTGTTTACAGCTTCTGTGTCCTACAGGCCTGGAGATCTGGGAGCAAAACAGAAAGTACCAGACAACTGAGAGAAAGAGTGCTATAATGAAGTACAAAGTGAGAGGTAACTACTGAAAACTTGGAGAATAGCTGAAATCTTGCACCCAGTGGTTCTTTGCCAAACTTTTCTTATAGGCTTCTTTGGTCACCCTAAAAGTCAGGGTAGGGCAGGCTTATTGCTTCTTATGGTATAGGTGGGCCACATCCAGGCCTCTGCATAGTTTCAATATGTCATCTTTTCAGCAGGGACCTTTTCACACAATTTTGAAGGTCTGTCTAATGATTCATCAAATGCTTTGCTGCATTCCAAAGCACTCTCATTTGAGGTCAGGGAGAACACTAGCCCTTTTTCAGAAGAGCAGAACCAGATTGGTTTGTCCTCTGGCAGCTATTAAGATCTGTGGAGTGACCCACCAGGCAACACTGGAAGGGACTCCCTCCCACCTGCTCTCTCCCAGGGAGATTCTGGGATCACAGAAGGCTTCTGGCTGAGTGCACACTTGATCCTTAGCCCTGAACAGGGACTATGCCAAATGTCATTTTCTTCTATACAGGGACCTATTCATTTAAGCAGCAGCCATGAAATCTAAAGATTTTTTAAAAAACTATTTTCATATCCAATATTGAATATCTACTTTAATTAAAATGGATATTTATTTAAATTATTTAAAGGAGGTAGCTCTTTGATCATGAGTGCTCATTTATGAAGACTGAAGACAGCAGAACTCGGCCTCCTCAAGTCCTAATTAAAAGTGAAAGCCTGAATTAGCATGTAACTACTTGCTATGTTTGTCACATCACTGGTAAAAGTAGTTTTGACGTTCTTATTTTTTCTTACTTGAGATTTCTCCCTCACAAGCAAAGCCTTAGTCCATTTGGGCTGCTCTAACAAAATACCATAAACTGGGAGGCTTATAAACAAGAGAAATTTATTTCTCAGTTCTGGAAACTAGGAACTCTAAGATTGAGTTGCCAGCAGATTGAGCGTCTGGCACGAGCCCACTTCCTAGTTCACAAAATCATAGGAAGCAGCAAACAAGCTCCCCTGGGTCTATTTTATAATGGCACTAATACCATACGTGAGGGCTCTGCCCTCATGACCTAATCACATTCTAAAGGTCCCACCAGTTGACAAAAACAATCAAATGCTCTAAAATATTTGAAGAGATTTTACCCTGAGCCAAATATGAGTGACCAAATGGCCTGTGACACAGCCCTCAGGGGATCCTGAGAACATGTGCCCAAAGTGGTCAGAGCACAGCCTAGTGTTATACATTTTAGGGAGATATGACCCATCAATTAAATCCATGTAAGATTTACATTGGTTTGATGTGAAAGGGCAAGACAACTCAAAGCAGGGGGCTTCCAGGTAGATGTAAAAATCTTCTTATTGGCAATTGGTTGAAAAACTTATTATCAATAGAAAGGAATGTATGAGTTATGATATGGGTTGTAGAGACCTAGGTTTTATCATGCAGATGAAACCTCCAAGTAGCAGGCTTCAGAGACAATAGATTATAAATGTTCCTTATCAGACTTAAGATCTGTGTTGATGTTAATGCTGGTTGGCTTTTCCTAAATTCCAAAAGGGAAGCGGGTGTAATGAGGCATGTCTGCCCCACCCCCTTCCA
The DNA here is from genome assembly GCF_000001405.40 of Homo sapiens. Classification (NCBI taxonomy): domain Eukaryota; kingdom Metazoa; phylum Chordata; class Mammalia; order Primates; family Hominidae; genus Homo; species Homo sapiens. The sequence continues at coordinate 110,385,698 of NC_000005.10, read as the reverse complement.
TTACGGCCTGAACAGATTTTGTAGGTTAACTTTGAAATGCCCTTGACTGAGAGGAGGGGTCCATTCAGATGGTTGGGGGATGCCTTAGAATTTTATTTTTAGTTTACACACCCTTTAATACTGTCACATTGGGGATTAGGTCTTAACATATGAATTTTCGGGGGACACAAACATTCAGGTCATAATACTTCCCCCTTCCTCAAAAAAGGTGGTAGATTTTGTTGCAGTATGGTGGATTCCTGAGGTTTATGAGTAGAGATAATTATCTTGAAACAATGAAGGAACCCTCCAGAGTTTCCCAAGCATTATTAGCTTTCTCATCCTAATGTTTGCTCAAGGACTGATTATTTGATATTTGATGTCACTCCCTGACTTCTAAAACAGCTGAATTGCTCTTGGTAACTAGGCATCATTGAAATTTGTAACTTCTTTTCAAATGAGCCAGTATCTGAGGAGTTTAAAAAGGGTAAAAATAGATGAGACTGGTTCATGTTGTTAAGATTTTTAATTCCCCCCTTACAATCCTATCAAAGAAATGAGCTGTCCCATGGCATGATGTAACCTTGCTAGAGCTGTGATTTGACAGAAAGATCGGAGTTGTAGAAGAAGGATCTCTCTATAAGTACTTGAAATAGTGTCCCATGGTAAGCTAAGGTTCCTGAGATGTAATAGTCGTGCACAAAAGACTCAGGGGACAGAAAGGTGTCTTTGTTTATTTCTTTGTTTTTGTGTAGCCCTTGATCTTTTGCCTCCAGGTATCAACAATTTTTTTTCCTATCAGTTGATTCAACTGCCCAGTCTTATTTCTTCTCTTCTTCCAGTAACAGGCTTTACTCTCTGGCCACAGAGATAGGACCATGAACCACATCAAAGTAGCATGGACAGAATAGTTAGGACAGGATATGTTTTCAAAGTAGGCAAGTTGGGTTATTCCCTGGGACTGTTGTAAATTGTAGTTGCCAAGAAAGTCCTAATTTCTCTCTAATTGGGTAGCTAAAAAGATGTGAGCCAAAAGTAGCAGAAATTCATGTTCCTTCTGCTTAGAGGAGCTGAAGATTTTAAAAAGCCACAATCACAATGCCCAGACAAAATTATAATTATATCTGACGCCTTAGTTCCAAATGTCTCATAGGCCAGCTTCCCCCTACTCTTTTCATACTTCTATTAGATAAGACAATACAATTATGTTTCCTTTAAGCAAATATAGTTTTTTTTTTCAGTTGCAACCCAAGAATCCTGACTAAACAATGACCTTAAATATAAAGGCATCTCATCCTCTTGCTGCATTGCATTTGAAATAAGCTTTATTTTCTCTAGCAATTAGTTCAGAATGGTATATTGCTACAGTGTAATATCTTGACATTATTTTCTTTCTTCCCATTCTTTCTGGCTGCCTCCAGAAATTGATGTTTGTGCTTGTTTAGGGAGGGCCTGGGTTTTAAGCATTCAGTGGGAAAGAAAACCTCTTTTATTCATGGACAGACACTGTCAATGCCTTTCTCATATCCCTCTCACCCTACCGTTTTGGTGTGCTCCAACCTTCTTCTAACTGACAATATCTGCATCCCTGGGCCTAAAAGTTTCCTCAAGAAGTGCAGAGAACCACTTTGCTCATGTTCACAGTGGGCTGGAAATGTAAGGGAATTAATATCCTCAGGAGTAAGCCTCTATCAGTGGTGATCAGAAATTGTATAAAGTACCCCCATTTTCCTCATCTTTTTTTTTTTTTTGGCAGGGGGTGATGGAGTCTCACTGTCACCCAGGCTGGAGTGCAGTGGCGTGATCTCAGCTCACTGCAACCTCTGCTGCCCAGGTTCAAGCGATTCTCTTGCCTCAGCCTCCCAAGTAGCCGGGACTACAGGTGTGCACCACCACTCCTGGCTAATTTTTGTATTTTTAGTAGAGATGAGGTTTCACCATGTTGGCCAGGCTTGTCTTGAACTCCTGACCTCAGGTGATCCACCTGTCTTGGCCTCCAAAAGTGCTGAGATTTCAGGTGTGAACCACCGCGCCTGGCCTCCTCATCTCTTAAGTAGTATAACTTGGAAAAATATGTTTTGGCTTTTCTCAGTGTTTCCCCATAATACTGATCTCCAGTTGCCCACTCTGGTAGATGACTTACTAATACCCTTTTATTGTTTGCTTTTCCTTCCATGTGTCCTTTCCCTGCTTTCAACCAATGGTTCTTTTCTACACCTCATAAGTAAGCAACTTGGACTTAGGCCCTGTTCTTAGAGTCTGTTTTGGGGAGAATCCAACTGAAGGTAGAACTTGAGAAACTAGTAATAAAGTATTTTTTGTACAGAGAATGTGGTTTGAAATTCCCAGGAGAGGGATCTTGTATTAGTCAATTTTCACACTGTTATAAAGGCATACCCAAGACTGGGTAATTTATAAAGAAAAGGGGTTTAACTGACTCATAGTTCCACATTGCTTGGGCAGCCTCAGAAAATTTACAATAATGGCAGAAGGGGAAAAGGCACATCTTACATGATGGCAGGTAGGAGAGAGAGTGAAAAGGCCAGGGGAAGCTTCCATTTATAAAACCATCAGATCTCGTGAGAACTCCCTCACTATCACAAGAATAGCATAAGGGAAACCACCCACATGATCCAATCACCTCCCACCAGGTCTCCCCACCAACATCTGGCATTACAATTCAAGATGAGATTTGGGTGGGGACACAAAGCCTAACCATATCAGATCTCAAACTTGTTACTCTAAAGTCAACAAAGTTTGAGAAGATAAAAGGATAAGAAACAGTTATGTAAGAAAAAGAAGCCCTTACTTTTACAGTCAAATGATTCTTGACAAGGGTGTTAAGACAATTCAATGGAGAAAAATAGTCAACAAATGATGCTTAGTCAACTAGATATCTACATGCCCCCAAAAAAAGAAATAAAAAAAGAAAATTGGACTTCTTCATTGTATTAATTAAAAATACTAATTGAAAATGAATCATAGAACTAAATGTAAGAGCTAAAATTGTAAAACTCTTATAGGAAAACATAGATGTACATACTTTTTAACAATGGATTAGGCAATAATTTATTAGATACAGTACCAGAAGTGCAAACGACAAAAAAAAAAAAAAAAAAAAAAATGTAGACACATGGACTTCACTAAGAAAAAAGAAACAATCAACTTTTGTACTTCCTAGGACACAATAAAAAAAGTGAAAATACAACCCAGACAATGTGATACTTTGGTATAAATCTTTGGCATAAATCAGATAAAATATATATAAGATCTACATGAGAAAAACTACAAAACTCTGTTAAAAGAAATCAAAGAAGAACTGAATAATTGGAGAGATATGCCATGTTCATGAATGGAACGACTCAATATTGTCAAGATGTCAGTTCTTCCCAACTTGATCTATAGATTTAAAATAATTCCAACCCAAATCTCAGAAAGTTATTTTGTGGATATTAACAAACTTATTCTAAAGTTTATGTGAAGAAGCTAAACAATATTGAAGGGAAAAAAGGAACAAAGTTGGAGGACTTACACTACCATATTTTAAGATTTACTATAAAGCTACAGTAATCAAAACAATACGGTATTGGTGAAAAAAATAGACAAATAAATCAATGGAACAAAATAGAGGGCCCAAAAATAGACCCAAGTAAATATAGTCAGATGATATTTGACAAAGGAACAAAGGCAATACTATGAAAAAAATTAGTAATTTCAACAAATGACTATCCACATGCAAAAAAAAAAAAAAAAAATGAATCTGGACACAAACCTTCCAAAAACTAACTGAAAATGGACCAGTGAAATCTAAAATGGAAAACTAAAAAACTCCTAGAAGATAATACAGGAGAAAATCTAGATGGCCTTGGGTTTGATGGTGACATTTTTAGATGCAACACTGAAGGCCCAGTCCATGACAGAAGGAAGTGATAAACTGAAGTTCGTTAAAATTTAAAACTTCTGCTCTGTGACACTATCAAGAGAATGGAGACAAACCACAGACTGGGAGAAAATATTTACAAAAGACATATTTGGAAAAGGGCTATTATTAAATATATAAAAAGAACTCATTAAACTCAATAGTAAAAAAAACCAACAACCGAATTCAAAAATGGGCCAATTACCTTAAGAGAAATCCCACCAAATAACATATACAGATGGAAAATAAACATGAAAAAATGTTCCATATCATATGTCATCAGAGAAATGTTAATTAAAACAACAATGATATACCACTACACACCTATTAGAATGGCCAAAATCCAGAACACTGACACCAAGGGAAGGATGTGGAGCAATTTGAACTCATTCATTGCTTGTGGGAATGAAAAATGGTCTAGCCACTTGGGAAGACAGTTTGACAGTTTGTTACAAAACTAAACATGCTCTTTCCATACAATCCATGAATTGTACCACTTTGTGTTTACCCAGATGATTTGAAAACATCTCCACACAAAAACCTGCACATGGATGTTTATTCATAACAGCCAAAACTTGGAAAACAACAAGATATCTTTCAATAGGCAGATGGATAAATAAACTGGTACATCCAGACAATGAAATATTATTAAGCACTAAAAAGAAACGAGCTATCAGCCAGAAAAGACATAAAGAAAACTTAGCGTATTACTTGCTAAGTGAAAGAAACCCATTGGAAAAGGCAAAAGTATGGGACCAGTAAACAAAGAAATGTTTCCTGGAGTTAGTGTGAAAGGAAGGATAAATAGGCAGAGAGCAGAGGATTCTTAGGGTAGTAAAATTAGTCTACAAGATACTATAACGGTGGATACACATCATTATACATTTGGCCAAACCTGTAGAATATACAACACCAAGGGTGAACTCCAGTGCAAACTATGGGCTTTGGGTGATTATAATATATTAATGGAGGTTCATCAATTGTAAAAGATGTACTACTTTGGTGAAGGATGTTGATAACAGGAGAGGCTATGCAAGGGTGGAAGAAGACAGTATATATGTGGGAATTATCTATATCTTCTGCTCAGTTTTACTGTGAACCTAAAACTGTTTGAAAAATTATCTTTCTTTGAGAAATAAAAAGATAACCTACACAGTGGGAGAAAATACTTACAAATTGTATAGCTAAGGAACTTGTATTCAGAGTATATAAAGAAGTTTTAAAACTTAAAAAGGACAAGTAACCAATTTTAAATCTTGCAAAGTAGCTGAATAATTATTTCTCTAAAGAAGATATACAAATGGCCAAACACATAAAAAGATGCTCAGCATTGCTAGTCTTTAGGGATATGCAAATCAAAACTATGAAATAACTCTTCATACCCACTAGGATGGCTATAAACAAAACAACGGGCAATAACAAACACTGGTGAGGATGTGGAGAGATTGGAACCCTCATACATTGTTAATGGAAATATAAAGTGGTGTAGCTGCTTTAGAAAATTGCTTGGCATTTCCTTAAATGATTGGCTATGTAAATACATATAGTTACCATATGACCGGTAATCACTTTTAGGTATACACTCAAGAGAATTGTAAACATATGTCCATGCAAAATCTTGTATACAAATGTTAACAGCACCATACATCCTGACAGCCAAGAAGTGGAAACAATCAAAATGGGTGTTAATTGATGAATGGCTAAACAAAACGTGGCATATAAAATATCATTTGATCTTATAAAAGGAATTAAATACTGAAATATGTTGATATGGATAAAGCTTGGAAATATACTACAGGAGAGAAGCTAGATACAAAAGGTCCATATAACGTGATTCCATTTATATTACATGTCCAGAATTGAGTCAGAAGGTAGATTGGTGGATTCCAGGGTCTGCAGAGAAAGGCAAACGGGGAAAGACTGCTAATGAGTTCAGAGTTTCTTTGAGGGGTAATGAAAATTTTAAATACTGGTGATGGTTGCAAAACTCTGTAAATATACTAATAACTACTCAATTGAAGATTTTAAAATGATAAATTTTATGGTATATGAATTCTATCTCAATAAAGCTGTTATTCAAAACAAAACAAGGTTGGTAAATGGGTATAAACTTATAGTTAGATAGGAGAAATGAGTTCTCATGTTTGATAGCCAACCAGGTGACTTGTTAGCAACAGTGTATTGTATATTTCAAAGCAGCTAGAAGAGAGGACTTGAAATGTTGCCAACACATAGAAATAAATAATAAATACTTGAGGTGATGGATACCCCCAAATACCCTGACTTGATCATTGTACATTCTATGAATCACATGTACCCCATGTTATATAAAATATTATGTATCAATACAGTAAAATAAAAAAAGAACAGAAGTATTATGGGTTTTACAAATCCCAAAAGCAAAAGTCAGGAGAGAAGAATGTTTTAAAATTTATTTGCTTATTTCTTATTTATTTTTTAAAATTCCAAGTCACTGGAGAAAAATACCATTCAGATAGAGCTCTGAGAATTCTAAAACAAATTGTTTAGATAAATAATTGGCTGCTGATCCCATTTTTTTTCAGCAGATAGGCTACATGAATGAATTAAATTTCTCGGAGAAATGGCAAGGTAATTCTGAGAGAAAAGAGGATCTTAGCTCTGCAATCAGCCTGTACACCTGGAATCTGGTCTAGCTAAACCTCAGTTCAAATTCCTTCACTGCCATTTAGTGGTAATAAGCAAGTCAGTTGGCTTCTATAAAATGCGATTTCCTACTTTATTCACTGATAATACTTATACCCGTTTGCAGATTTGTTTTGCCACAAATGTTAGATGAACACTATGTGCAGGACAAAGTTGTGACAATAGGGCCACACTAGTGAGGTAGAAGACAGATAAACTCTCTCCCCTTACAGAGCTTACATTCTGAGAAGGAAGGCAGACAATAAGTAAACAAACTAGACAATTTCAGTCTATGAAAAGTGAAACAAAGGAAAATAAAAGGAATAGGTGGTCATGAGTGATGGTGAGGAAAGAGACGATTTTAGATCAGGTCGTCCAGAAATGCCCTTTGAGAAGATGCTATGTGAGCAAAGGACAGAAAAGCAGGGACCAGCTATGCATAAATATGCAGAAAAATTTCTATGCTAAGAGAACTGGAAGTACCAAGACCATGAGGGGAAAGAGGGAAAGAGATGGAAAAAGAGGGCTAGAGGCATTTTTCAAGAAAGATCAACCTGGCCAGAGCATGGTGAGGGAAACTCTTTGGATAATATTGAAGGTAGGCACAAGCCATATAGGCCCAGGACTAAGATCCACCATGAGGAGGAAATGGGATCATATATGGAGAAACTTTAGTCTCCCTGTTTAGAAAATGGTACATATTGTTAGTATAGCACAATAAAAGCCACTGTCCAATAGCTTGATTTCCCTTAAGGGAGGCAGCAGTGAGTGCCATAGGGCTGTGACATCCTTCTGCACATTGACAATCAGGGATGATCTGATTGCTCTAGCTAGCAGGCCAGTGACTCATTTTCTTCCTCTCCACTCTATGTGTATTCCTCTAAGAATGTGGATTCCATCAAAGGAGGACAGGTCTCTTAGGGGAGAAACATGTAGAAAATGCTCTGGCTTCCCTGCTAGCAGCTCCATTAGTGGATATACCCTGTGACACACTGTGCAAAATGAGTGCTTTCTCTTTTTCAATTAAAAGTGATCAGCATGACTAATACTAAAGGGCCTGCTGCTTTAAATCTACTGAGGATTAGCATTTGGGCCATGGGAGAGCCTGAAACACAACCACAGAGGCTCTCACAGAGTTGCTCTAGATACTACAGGAAAAGCCCAGCCTCAAGAAATACGATGCAGGGAGCTCTCATAAGTAGCCAATCCACTTCTGTATCTTTGCATGTTTTTACTTCTGCCTGTGGTGGTGGGCTTCTTTCACCTGGAAAACAAGTTATCCTTAAGACCTCTAAAAATCCAAAAAGGAAGGTTCTTCCTTTTATGCTTACTATAATGGCTCAGACCTTAGGAGAGGGGACAGTAAAATATGTTTATAAGTATCAGATGAAAATCTTCCTTTTATTTTCTTATGTCCAGCCTACTGGAAGGAAGTCTGCCTTTCCAGCTACTAGCCACACCTCTCCAAGGGAAGATTAACTCACTCATTTCTTGCTTTTGCTGAGGTCATGAGTTGGGAATGACAGCTATTATGCTACTTTGTCATCTCTTTTAATTGAACTTTCCATGGACTGCAAGAAAACAGAAAACTAATCCACATATTATTGTGTGTGTTTGGGGAAAACGGTGGTTAGGAATTGGGGAGGAGGTAAAGAGGAAGAGGGTATATTAGTTTGATCTGCAACTGTGCAAAGAAATGCATGGCACTAGGCTTGCGAAATCCTAATTCCTTTTCAAAATGAATCTGGGGCTACAGCCAATATAGACACCTTATGAAATTGTGTCTTAATCATATGAATTTATTAATACCCCCAAAATGTATATATGGCAATAGTTCCTAAAAAAATACACTTTTCTTACAATCTGGTTTTGTGCAGTAACTATGTTTCATCATAGCATATCATCATTACTGTAACAGACTGAATTTCTAATATGACTTAAAAATGCAATTGCAGTCATTGTATTTTATTCTATGGTATTAACCATATATAGAAAAGTTGCTGGTGTAGGAGAATTTTTTAATTATGCAAGGATGGAAGTATTCAATGAAAGGGCTATTTTTAAGTTATACCCTTCGGTAAATGAAGATAGATATAGTCTACCCGAATGTTTTCCAAGCCAGTTTCAGCCTCCTGTTCTATAGAATCAACCATAAGACACAAGTTCAAACTCTGCTGTCACAAATGATTAATGGGTCCAGTTCTCTCCTAACTGAATGTGGTCCATGGCATGGCCCATGAGCACACAATAGTAAGTCAGCTTCTAGGCTCTATTCAAATTATTAGAAACATCTCAGCTGATCTTCTGCCACATCCTCAAAGTGACCTTTCTTGTGACTCACATTTGAAACAGCTTATGAAAACCATTCCATATGTCAAACTTCATTTCATTCAATTTTCTCCTAGTTGAAAATTGACACTAAAGATGTTTTGTCTTTCAGAGCACTTTCCTCTGGGAGCCAAAGGCCTGATGATGTATAATCCTTCCTGAAGGTTTTATGGCAGAGCTTCACAAAGCAAACATTTTTTCCCCTTATTTTATATCACCCTGACAAACAGAAATGCTGAGCCATTTAATTACAGAGCCTGCCCGACACATCCAGAGAGTCAAATATTCTGGCGGCATCTAGCTGAAGGGGAAAAATGCACTGAATTCCCAGAGTTACTTGTCAAGACAATGACACCAAGGAAACTAGTAAATAATCTGGTGGGCCCGACAGTGGATGCTATGGTGTGCTAGAGCAGTCCCTGAGGCTCTGTGTCAGCAGCATTAGCCCTGCGGCCTTGCATCCCAGGACAGTGATACTTTGTTTAAGCTTCAGGCTGAGCAGCCAGAAAATGATGGGTATAGGTCAGAGGAACAAAAGTCAAGCCACAGGCCCACATGTCATGAGCTGGTCTGCGCTTTACAGAAACTTCCAGATCTAGAGCTTGCACTCTTAACTCCTAAACTTATTCACAAAAAGAATCTGCACAGATGCACAGACGCAACTGTGTATTCCTCCCTTAAAACTCTAAGGTGTGACAGACAATCCCCATGACCATGCATGAGCACACTAAGGTATTATATCCTGTCATATTTCTAAGCTCCAACACATAATCAAAATGTGTCAGGTTGCCTTTATATGACGCCATTTTCTCCCTTCAGAATTGTTAATTCATGTGATAATTTCCAGTTAATTTCACAGTTAACAACTAAACAAAAGTATGCACGTCACTCTCTTGAAAAGTTTTCATCTGTATGCTTTAATGTTTTCTCTCTTTTTACTTCTTCTGTCAATCATATAGTAAAAAGGGAGTGGGGAAGTACATCCGATATGATTCAGGCACTACTCTAAGCCCTGGGACTGAACAGTGGAATTGATAGACGAGGTCACTGTCTTAAAGGAAATTATATTCAGGTTGAAGGTTATTATCTTTTTACACATTTATTTTCTGCGTAAAATAAATATGATCAAAAATAAATGTGTAAAAGGATAAATAAAATTATTTGGGGGTTGTAAATGCTCTAAATAAAATGGTTTACAGAATGATGTAGAATGGTTTTAGTGGTGAAACTCTCTTAAAGTGGCCGGGGAACTTAACTTTGAAGTAATGATTTTTGAGACATAAATGATGAAAGTGATGAAAGGAGGCAGCTACAAAATATTTGGGTAAAGAGTGTTGCTGGAAAAAGGAATAGCATATACAAATGCCCTAAGAGAGAAATGAGAGTAGATACACCTTATGAAATAAAGGTCAGTGTGACCAGAAAGTAATGACTAATGAGTATAATGGACAGAGGAGACAATGGGGTAGGTTTTCCCAGGTCAGATCATAAAGGCATTGTAGGCATATATTTTGAAAAGGAATAATTAAAATTTTCTGTATGTAAAATAACATAATCCTCCTGCGTGTAGACTATTCTAAAGAATTCACACACACACACACACACACACACACACACACACCCCTTAGTAGAGTTCATAACAAAATCGAAGTAGCCAGATACAAAATCAATACATATTATATTCCTAGGAATGTAATATGTAATTACATTCCTAGGAATCCAAAAGAAACATCCAAAAGTTCAATCAAGAAAATTATATTCAAATAACATCCAAATGAATAAAGTGCTTAGGAAAATTTCCAACAAAAAAGAATTGGAGTGTAAACTAGTTCAACCATTGTGGAAGACAGTGTGGCGATTCCTCAAATACCTAAAGACAGAAATACCATTCAACGTAGCAATCTCATCACTGGATATATACCCAAAGGAATATAAATCATTCTGTTATAAAGATACATGTACATGTATGTTCATTGCAGCACTATTCACAATAGCAAAGACTTGGAATCCACCCAAATGCCCATCAATGATAGACAGGATAAAGAAAACGTGGTGCATATGTGCCATGGAATACGATGCAGGCATAAAAAAGAATGAGAACATTTCCTTTGCAAGGACATGGATGGAGCAGCTGGAGGCCATCATCCTTAGCCAACTAACTCAGGAACAGAAAACCAAATACTGCATGTTCTCACTTGTAAGTGGAAGCTAAAGATGAGACCATGTGGACACATAGAGGAAAATAGCACACACTGGGGCCTATTAGACAGTGGAGGGTGGAAGGAGGGAAAGGATTAGAAAAAATAACTAATGAATACTAGGCTTAATACCTGAGTGATGAAATAATCTATAAAGCAAACCCCCGTGACACACATTTATCTATGTAAAAAACCTGCACATGTACCCCTGAACTTAAAAGTTAAATAAAGAGTAAAACCTGTACATTGAAAACTACAAAACATTACTGAGAGTAATTTTTAAAGACATAAAAAGTGATAGACATACCGTATTAGAATATTGGAAGACCAAATATTTTCACAATGACAATTTTCCCCAAAATTGATTTTATAATTTAATTCAATCTCTATCAAAACTTCATCAGGCTTTCTTGTGGAAATTGACAAGCTGGTCCTCAAATTTATATGGAAATGCAAAAGACCTAGGTTAGCCAAAACAATTATGAAAAATAACAAAACTGGAGGACACACAGTCTATTTCAGGTAGCACTGGCATAAGAACAGACATGTACATCAATAAAACAGAATTGAGGGTCCAGAAATAAATCCTTAATATTTATGGACAACTTATTTTTGACAAAGGTGCCAAGGAAATTCAATGGGGAAAAATTCTCTTTTCAACAAACTGCTGGGACAACTGGATAGCCACATCTGAACAAAAAAAAAAAGAACTTAAACTCCTCTTAAATCCTCATCTCATACAAAACTCAAAATTAATTCAAAATGGATAATAGACCTACGTGAAAGAGCTAAAACTATAAATATTTTAGAATAAAATATTGAAGGAAATTGTTGTGAAATTACTTTAAAGAAATATTTTTTAGTTAGGACACCAAAAGAACAATTCATAAAAGAAAATATTGAGTAATTGAACATTATCAAAAAAGTTTTAAAGCATAGCCTCTGAAAAACATACCATTAAGCAAATGAAGAGACAAGCCACAAAATGGAAAAAAAAATCTGCAAATTATGTATCTATTAAATGTTTTGTCCTGTATAAACATATAAATAACTCTTAAAACTCAAAAATTTTAAAAAAGCAATTTTAAAATGGGCAAAATTTACATACAAATGGACAATAAGTACATAAAAAAATTCTCATCATTAGACATTAGAGAAATAAAAATTAAAACCACAAGACAAAACTAGAAACTCACAAAAATGGCCTAAAACAAAAAGACAGCCAGTCAAAAGCCTTAGGGAGCATGTGGAGAAACTGGAAGACATGTTTTGCTAATAGAAATGCAAACTGGTACAGTCACTTTAGAAAACAGTTTGGCAGTTTCTGAAATTGAAACATACACTAACCATGTAACCCAGAAAATTTGCTCCTAGGTATTTACCCAAAAGAAATGGAAACATGTCTACACAAAGACGTGTTCACAAATGTTTATAGCAGTGTTTTTTATAACTCAAAAATAGAAACAATCTAAATACCTGTGTAGTGATGAATGAATAAACAAAATGTAGTACATATAAACAATGGATTACTCTTCAGTAAAAGATCAAATTTCTAATACATGCAACAACAGCATAGATGTATCTCAGAAACTCTACATTAAATGAAAGAACCTACAAATAAGAAACTACATATTATTCAACTTACATACAATTTCTAAAAAAAATTTTAAAAGCCAATCCGTAGAGACAAAAAGCTAATTGAGGCAAGGGTGGAGACTCACTGAAAACATGCATGAAGGAACTTTCTTTTTAGAATGATGGAAATGTTCCAAAATAGAATTATGGATATAATTATACAATAGTATAAACTTACTAAAAATTATCTAATTGTACATTTACAATGGAGAAATTTTGTGATAGTTTAATTATATTCCTATAATGCTGTTTTTAAAATCACAATGGTCTCATTGCCTATAGTTAAATTATAACCTAAATGTTAATTATTAATTATTTTCACCATTTTTTTTAGTTTCATTTGCCAAGGTTAAATCCCAATTAAACATTTTATCCCTACTCACTGTGATATTATGTCCCTGATTTATATGATTTCCCCTTAAGTGTCCTTTTTTAAGTACCAGTTACCCTCAGATAATGAAAAGTTTTATATGGATATTACTTCATAGTATGCTATATCAGTTAGACATAGTTTAAAATATAAGTAAGATAAAAACCAATTTACAGTGGTATAAAAGCAGGTGAGTTGTTTCTTTTACACAACAGCAAGTATGGATGTAGGTGACCATTGGTAGGTTTAGTGACTCAATATAAAACAAGATGGTTGCCTCAGATTCAGGCATCATGTGAGTGTTTAAAACAGCAATGAAAGGGGAGAAGGAAGTACAAGAAGGAAAGAAAACTTTCCCAGATAACTCCACTAAACTTCTGGTGGCAGGTCTGGTAATCAGACAAGTAACGTGACCACCTCTGGCTGTGGAGGAAGCTGAGGAAGAAGCAGGCTATAATAAAGGCAGAAATGGAGAAGATTCAGGATATGGTGTCAGCCTTGTCAACAGTGATTGTTACTTGTCCTGATAGTGTCATTTGGGAAATGTCAGAATATAACCTAATTGGATGAAGCTAAGCTCCTAGGTTATAGGATGCTATTGGTAATCCACGTAAGAAATGACGTGGGAACAAAAATATGTTGGACCTCACTTTTTATTGTCTGTGCCTCAAGAAATATGGTTGCATGAGGAAACCAATCCCATAATGTTAATCTAACACTCTAATTTTATGTATGAGGAACTTGTGGTTCAGAAAGATGACGTAGTTTGACCAAAGCTGTTCAGCAAGAAACTGGCAGAGCATGAAGCTCTACCCAGAGGTCTTGAATCCCAGTTCCATGCTTTTACTGTTACACTACTATAATTGGTTCCTTGTTTTTCTGATTGTTCTTATTTCAGCTTTACTACTAGATTATAAGGGAATAGTTTTTATTTCTACTTTTTTCAACTCCCTCAATTGTATCCATTTTAAGCACATAGACCTTGAGAAATATTTAGCTGAGTCATCATATGATAAAGGTAACAAGCATCTTTGATCATTCAATGAAATGTATGGGGAAAAGTATCATTGTAATGTTCAACTTTTATATGAAAATTTTCTATGAACTGCTGATGGCTTTTACTGAGAAAATTCAACTCCTGAGACATCCAGTTCAAAGACTTTGCTCACTAGTGTTCCTGGAATGGGTTTATTTAGAAGTACCTTTTTTGTTTGACATAACTTTCCAGAGGGATTGTTGAAATCCTTGGAAGGCTTGTGTTAATTGCAGTTGTAATTTTCCTTTAGGAAGTCATTTGCACAATGTTTTCTATGTCAGATCTAACTTTCTGTTCTGATTCACTGAAGCCTGAAGTTCAAAGCAAAGAAGCCACTCAGTGTGCAATGAATAAGAGAATCAACCAAGCAAGTTAGAGCACATAAAATAACATACCTTTGTCTTTTCAGTCCCTGTGGTCTGGTTATGGCCATGCCATCTAGCCCCTGTAACTGAAGGCTGTTTCAGTCATGTGACAAAACACTGGCCTTGGAATTTTGGACGAAGGAAGCAATGAAAGCCAAGGCCCTTAAGCCTGACTATAAAGAATGATTCTATCTGAGAGAACCTGGGAGCAATGCTTGTATTTTCAGACAAGACTTTTAAAAGTAAGCAAGTCTATCACAGCAATTTAATGAGATAGAGAGAAATCAGGTGGATAAGACAGAGCTAAAGAATTTCTATGTCAACCCAGTTCATTTGATACATTGTAAGTCAAATCGTTTTCTCTACCTTTGTTTCAGAACTCAGACACTCACAATACCTGTCAATGAAATACTTCTTAACAACAGCAACAATTGCATATAACTTTCATGAGATAATAACTTAAACCTCATAAGAAATGGGAACAATTTAATAGGCTTAAGTTCTGAAACACTTGAGAGACACCAATATCCCACACCAATCTCTACTCCATCATGCAATGGGCTTTATTTCTGCAAAGCATCAGCAAGCTGTAATTACCTAATAACAACAACAACATTAGACCTGTCACTGCTATATTAAAGATAAAAATATACAGAAAGAAAATCAGGCTTACAGAAGCAGAAGACAAATTAGTACCTCAAAATAACAGTCCATATTTCTACTTGAATACTACCCTAATCACCAGAGTTATCTATTGTACTGAGTAAACTATATAACCAATATAGCCCCACTAGCTGAGCATATTCTTAAAGAAGCACTAGACTTAAATGAAAAGATGTGGCCAGGTGCAGTGGCTCACGCCTGTAATCCCAGCACTTTGGGAGTCTGAAGCGGGTGGATCACGAAGTCAGGAGATCAAGACCATCCTGGCTAACATGGTGAAACCCTGTGTCTACTAAAAATACAAAAATTATCTGGGCATAGTGGCACATGCCTGTAATCCCAGCTACTTGGGAGGTTGAGGCAGGAGAATCGCTTGAACTAGGGAGTTAGAGTTTACAGTGAGCCAAGATCATGCCACAGCACTCCAGCCTGGCAACAGAGTGAGACTCTTAAAAAAAAAAAAATGAAAGAAATGTTGTAATTATACAGATATGACACAGAAGATTTCTGAAGGCCAAGACTGGGACTGCTTTAATTTGGATGTAATTAAATCATTCTTAAACTTTTTGTTTTCCATGTTACATACATGATTCACTGACAGAACCTTTTAATTATTACTAATAGGGATCAATTAAGTAATGAAGTTTGGACTCCCAGCAGGCACTCTTTAGTTTTCAGGGAATACTAAAAGCCATTGTATTGTTTTTTTCCTTGGCTCAGAGAATTATTTTAAGACTCATTTCTTACCTCCCACTGAACACTTCCTGGTCAGCACACAGGATTCATATTAGGTGGCACTATACACTGTAGGCTTTTTATTGTGAACTACCCTTCCCCTTCTTGCTGTGTTCCTTGTGAACATAAAATGCCAAATTTATGTATTATTTATACATAAATAATACTTTATGTCTACTTTATGTATTATTTATAAACTTTACTGGATATTCTCACTAGGGTTTCCTTCAGTTTTCACACTCCTTAAACTTGAAAGAATAGTAAAACATCTAGTGTTTGGTTTATCTGGAATTTCTCTCCATTCCTCTGGTAACAACTTTTCCATTCTTATGGGGAACTTTCCTTCCCCATTTTCTGTGGTCATAATGGAACATTCAGGTAAAGTCTCTCTCCTGTCTTTACCAAAAACATCATGGGACAGTGACTGGCACAATAGTAGAATTGTAATATTTTATATGTGGTATTAGAAAGGAAATCTATCTTTTCTACTGGCTCATGAACTGTAAGTAAGTGTTTCCGGAGCTGTGACAGCCTGACTATACCAATTTTTTATATTACTAAGTGTTGAGGAGGATATGGAGCAACTAGAACTTTCATTTGTTATTGGTGGTAAAATAGTATAAATGTTTTTGAAAATAATTTGGTAGTGATAGGGAAAGGAGTCTGGGAAATTCTGGGCAGAAGTGGGCGTTGGTCTCCAGCAAGGACCCCACCCCTAAGCCAAAAAGCCTGATACCATGGTCCAAAGTGAGAACTTATATCCCTGTTTTCCTGTTCAAATGTTGTCTTTTCTAAAACCACTCATGGCCCACCCCACCCTCATCATGTACCCATAAAAGCCCTAGGCTCAGTCAGCAGAGAGAGTAGAAGCAGCTGGATGTTAGAAACTATGGTTGGACATTGGAGAGAAGCAGCTTGACTTCAGACGGACAGCTTGATGGCGTAGCTTCAGAGAGGAGTCTGGCTGGGGACGGCGACACTTCAGCAGATTACTTTCCCACTCCATCCCCTGTTTGGCTCCCCCTTCCACTGAGAGCCACTTTCATTGGCAAAAAAAAAATCCCCAGCATTTACCATCTTCAGTTCGTTTGTGCAACCTCATTCCTTCTGGATGGCAGACAAGAACTTAGACGCAGGTGCAAAAGGCTGTCACAGTGAGCCTCCACTGAGCTACTAACACTTAAGCTGTCCAGAGATGGCAAAGCTAAAAGGGCACTGTAACACTCCTTCTGGGGCTTCAGGAGGAGTGGGCATCCCCCTCACCCAGATGCTGTCATGGGGTCCACATGGAGTTTTCTCCTGCCAGTGTCCAAAAGCGCTCACCCCAGCTCCTATACTCACTCACCTGTGTGCTCCCCCTCCCACGAGGGGTGAAGAACAATGGGTTTGAGTGAGTGGAATTCGTTCCTGCTGGCCCCAAAGCAGCTGATTAGTTCCAGTGCCCCTGCATTCCAGTTCCTACCAGCAAAGGGGTCAAGGAAATATCCTGCTTCGGTAGTTTCTTAAAAAGTTAAGCATATTGCCACCATATGACTGAGACATTCTACTCCTGGGCCAACAAAATAAAATCATATGTGCTCACAAAGCAAACCTTCATAAGAATTTTATTTCTTATAGCCAAAAACTGGAAACAACCCAAATGTTCATAATCTTATAAATGGACAAACAAATTGTGGTATATTTATTTGAGTCAATACCTTTGAGTAATAAGAAAGAACTATTAATACACACAACATGGATGAATCTGAAATAATTACGCTGAGTGAGAGAATTCATACATAAAACAATAGATAGTGTGTGATGACACTTTCATGCAGTTCTAAAAAATGCAAGCTAATCTGTATGGTTGCTTTGGGGAGCCACAAGGGACAGCAACGAAGAAATACAAATGAGCACAAGGAATCTTTTAAGGGTAATCAATATGTACATATATATATATACACACACAAACCTCAAAATGTATTAAATTATATATTTTGTATATATTAATGTATTAAATTATATTTATATATATTAATATATTAATGTATTAAATTATATTTATATATACTAATATATTAATGTATTAAATTATGTATATTTATATATATTAATATATTAATGTATTAAATTATATATGCAGCTTATTATGTCAATTATATTCCTATGCAACTGTTAGAGAAAGAATATAAAATAGAGACAACGTTAAACTAAAAAAGTTACTCCCAACAGACTTTCACCAAACATCTAAAAGACATATTAACATCCCAGAAAAAAAGACTGAGATGCAAAGTGCTGCCTAACACTACAGAAGCCAAAAATACCAGTTTAGTTCTCATAATTCCTGCCATCTGAGGCATGGGGTGCTGCCTCCTGGAACTGTCAATGTGGATATAGTGACATAAAAAACTAGGAACAGGCCAAGCGTGGTGGCTCATGCCTATAATCCCAACACTTTGGGAGGCCAAGGTGGGTGGATCACCTGAGGTCAGGAGTTTGAGACCAGCCTAGTCAACATGGTGAAACACCATCTCTACTAAAAAAAAAAAAAAAATTAGCTGGGCATGGCGGCACGCACCTGTAATCCCAGCTATGAGGGAGGCTGGGGCAAAAGAATCACTTGAACCCGGGAGGCGGAGGTTGCAGTGAGCCAAGATTGCACCACTGTACTCCAGCCTGGGTGACAGAGCAAGACTTTGTCTCAAAAACAACAACAACAACAAAAACCACACACACACACACACACACACACACAAAAGACAAAGAATAGTCCAGAAGCAGCAGAGACAGAAACAGTAGCATCACGAAAGCAGTGGCAGCTCTGTATGAGGAGGCGTCAGGACAGCAGTGGTATTTACTGTCTGCTAGTCCTGCAGCAGTGGGGCCAATGTGGGTACAGGGGCCAAGATACAGGGACAGTGCAGGTGGTGGCATTCCAACCAGATTCCTCCTAGGTGTGATCTCAGCAGTAGTCCTCATCGCCTGTCTTACCTCAGCTTTTCATTTTCCAAGTCATTCCTTCTATTCCAAGAACTACCCATTATCCTTCCAAAATGGTCTGTCTTCTTCTATTAGAAAGGTTAGAGATTAAAACATAAATTTAAATGTCTGAGTAATACATATACTGATTAGTTGATTCTTCAACTATATTTTATGCATTCCGTACTTTATAAATGAACAGCCAAGCTTTGCTCACAATGAAAATCACACAATGATGGAGAAACATGCCTACAGATAGATGTAAACATAATCAGATAAAACAGGCAGATAAAAGCACAGTATGCTAATTACCCTGATGTGACCACTATCATTATATATATCAAAATATCACCATGTACACCATAAATAGGTACAATTGTTGTGTGTCAATTAAAATATTAAATTAAAAATATTTTTTAAATTTTTTAACAAAGCATAAAACAAGATACAAAAGGAAAAAAAAAAGTAGAATTGTATCCCACATTCAAATGGGAAGAAAAAGAACTGGAGCTCTGAATCCTTCCTCCAGGGTGGCAGAAATTCCAGATAACATACTTAAAGTCAGTGTAGCAGGGACAAAAGCACTGAATATTGTGATTAAAGTCTCCTTTGGGGAAGTCGGGTTTCAAGTTGACTAGTTTAATCTCTCTTGGGCTGAAGGAATATAGGAAGCAAGGAGTGCACACATGTGGGAACAGCCAAGCAGGGGGATGGCTATAAGTGTTCGGAGGTCTTTAAGAACTCAGGTTCCTTTATGTTCCCTCTCTAACAAGTGAAGATTTTAGTAGGCATTTAATTATATGCTGTAAACATTAAATAATTTATTTCATATGGAAGAACAATAAGAGTCACAGTGACATCTCCAAGACACCAAACAATGACATTTATTTTGGCAGCACCTATTGATTCCATTCCTCAGTGTGTGAGCTAGCCGCAGGTGAGCAACTTCTTGTTTCCAAACAAATAGAAAAGTTGCATTTACACATGCAGGCTTTTAGACCACCAAGTTAAATACTTTAAGTACATGAGGAAACAGTGGGCTTAGGGCCTTAGAGAAGTCTACAGACGTGGGTCAAATGTCACATTAGGTAAGATGTTAAACACTGTCTGAGGCAAATCTTTTCACCTCCACTGGTGAAAATATACCCCAAATCCATCCATTCTTTTACCTTCCAAGCCTGGATTAGTGGTAACTAGTTAATCTGATGTCACTCTTGCATACTAAAATCTATTTCCCACAAAGAAGTGAAAGTGATATTTTAGAAATGTATATCAGATTGTGTCACTTCCCTGTTTATAACATTCAAATGTCTTTGCAATACTTGTGGAATAAAATCAAATTTCCTTACCAGGGTTTATAATGTGCAAGCCTGTTCAGCCCCTACTTAACCCCCCATCTCAGCCCTCACCAGTCTTCCCTGTGCTAACTCTGCTCCTGCCACACTGGGCTTCTTTCTGTTCCTCGATTATACTAAGCTTTCAGATGAAAACCTTTGCATATGCTGTTCCCTCTGACTGGAACCGTCTTTCTCATATCCCTAAGTAGCTGATTTCTACTTATAAGTCAGTATTTAATGTAAATATTTGTCCCCAGAGAAGCCTTCCCTGACCACCAGTGTAAAGTGTCCTCTATCACATGACTGCTTTATTGTCATCATAGCATTTATTACTGTCTGAGACTGATTTTTTTCATCTGTTTGCTTGTTTGTTGCCTATCGCTCCCACTAGAATTAAGCTCTTTGAGGATAGGGATCCTGTCTGTTTTAACTGTTACTGCATCTCCAGTGACTACAACGGTGTCTGAAATATAGGAGGTATTCACTAATTATGTATTTTATGTATTAAATACATGAGAAGCAGAAAATGAACCCATTACCTGAAAGTCCTGAAACTCCTGAAAGTTCACCTGATGTAGAAGTTACTTGAAAGTTTACTTGATATAGAAATAGTATTTACTTATTGGCAACCTCCTATTGTTCAGGAAAACTTATCAATGATACTTTTTAAAGCACGGTAAGGAAGATTTTTTTTTCTTTTTTTTTTTTTTTTGAGAGGGAGTCTCACTCGGAGTGCAGTGGCGCGATCTCGGCTCACTGCAAGCTCCGCCTCCCGGGTTCACGCAGTTCTCCTGCCTCAGGGTCATGAGTAGCTGGGACTACAGGCGCCCGCCACCACGCCTGGCTAATTGTTTGTATTTTTAGTAGAGACGGGGAGGAAGACTTTATTCGGGACCATCACGGTAGAAATAGGGACAACTGCAATGGGGTCTTGCAGTGGGGGAAACAGATAGGGCTCAACTCCAAATACAGGATGGGGAAAGTGGGAATTTATAGCCAAGGAGCAGTGTAGGGGTCAGTGGATGGAAAACTATGAAGAGGAAACTTCAAGGGTAAGGGAGATTCTGGCTAAACTGACCTCACAGGATTCTTGCTGAAGACAGGCCAGGGTAACTGGTCATCACCGGAGGGATAGTAGAGGATGAGGACCTGATCAGATATCAGGAGAGATAACACACTGAGGATGGAGGAGGGGGGTTCTTGCTAAACCACTAAACCAACTAAGCAGGGTTCTTGCTAAAACTTGATTTTTCAAGCAAGTACACAGATGGGGCTAGGGGGAAAGTTCAAAAGCCTGACAAAAGTGTGGCCAAGCAAAGAACCTTTGTCACCAAGGAGAAAATAATTCTCTATATCTAATTTTTGTACTCCCTTGAATCCCTTTGCTCCTGAGCCCCAGTGGCAAACCACTAATGACACTCCTTAACAGATTATCCAACATTAAGTGTTTCAATGCACAGCATAAGGCCAATCTACTACTTTTCATCCAGTGCAAGTGTTGGCTTATCATAATTAAATATCAGAGCTCAAAGAGATATTAGGTATATAATCGAAATATAAAATTACAACCACAAAAAAAATGGCTAACACTTACTGAGTACATTTTAAGTTTCAGTCACAGTGCTTTATATGTATCACCATATTTAATTCTCATAACAACTCCACAAGTTAGGTTCTAACATTATGCTCATTTACAAATGAGAAAACCAATTAAGTAACTTGTCCACAGCCACATAGATAGTGAGGACTGAAACATGGTTGGCTGACATATGCATAGCCCTCAATCTGCAAACTCAACCTTCCATGGACAACATATATCAGTATTCAATCTAGGCATTCATTTTCTGAGCCAGAATGAGGCCTCCCAACTTTTAACAGCACTGCACTTTAAGCACGACTTGCTAACAGAGTGGCGTTGGGACCCACAGAAAACCTTAGCCATTCTGGTATTAGAGATCATCTACTACAACCTTCTTCTCAGTGTACATATAAAAGATAAATATCCAACTAAGATAAGTAATTTCTCTGTTGTCATGTAGCAGCAGGACAGGAGCCTAATCAGATGCTCTGTTATTTACCAATCATCACAAATGGCAATCAGGCTATTGTAAACAGCAGAGAGCAACTGTTCAAGTGTTTTAATTTTGTGGTCATAAACAATCTCACTGATAGAGTTTGGATACTTGTCCTCACCCAAATCTCATGTTGAATTGTAATCCCCAATGCTGGAGGTAGGGCCTGGTGGGAGGTGTTTGGATTATGGAGGCAGATCCATCATCGCTTGCCACAGTCTTTGTAACAGTGAGTTCCCTTGAGATCTGCCTATTTAAAAGTGTGTGGCACCTCTCCCCACCACCCACCCTTGCTCCTGCTTTTACCATGTGATGTGCCTGTCACCCTTTCGCCTTCTACCATGATTGTAAGCTTCCTGGGGCCTCCTCAGAAGCCTGGCAGATGTTAGCACCATGCTTCCTATAAAACCTGCAGAACCATGAGCCAATTAAACTTCTTTTCTTTATAAATTACTCAGTCTCACATATTTCTTTATAGCAATGCAAGAACAACCTAATATACTCACGTAATGTGAAATGATAACTATGACATAGCTAGTAGGGTACATCCTTACACTAAGGATGCCTAGCATCTTCAAAGCCACCGTTTCTAAATAGAGCCTACCTCAGATATCTCAGTTTCAAATGACTTTGTCTTGTTTTGATTAGTGCTGGGGAAAATAGCACCACTGAGTAAAGTATACAAATATTTACTGAACACTACATGCCCAGCACCCTACTAGGTGGTAGATGAAAGCAGGTGAGATGAAAATTGGTCCCTGGTCTCCTGCAAGGCAAAGCAGAATGGTTTTCTCCTGCCAAGTAGAGAAGATAAATGCAGTGAACAGGAAGTGGAGATCTTATCCTTCCAGGAACAGGTAATGGCCTTCAGACTCATAGGCAGCTGTGCATAAGCTTTCCAGATGAATTGTTTAAAAACTACTTAGAGTGTATCTTCTTTTCCTCATTTGTTCCTTTATTTGCAATTCTCCTGTTACCTTTGGAAATCATTAAGAGAAAAGAGCTAATCAAAATGGGCAGGCTCTGTTTGAGCTCATACTGAGTCAGCAAGACGTGCATAAATGCATTTGGGGTGGAGCACGAGCAGGGCAGAGGGCACTGCTTGCTTTTTTCCCCTCACATCATCTAGTGCAGCCCACTATTGCCTGCCAAAGCCCTAGGATGTGACCCCTGATGGATTCTAGGAATCTACTTTGCAACATTTGCTGATTCTACACTGGCAAAAGAGAATTGAATATCTGCTAAATCTCTAGAGAACTGCTAAGGCTCTTCCACTTACCTGGTGCTTTGTCTTCAGAAGTAACTGTAGGGGAAAATCTTGGCCTAATTTACTGAAACCATAATAAATATTTATTGAACAAATGCATACGTCAGTTGTGCCTTCCTAGTATCACTATTAAACCAAGGAGCCAATACAGTGTGTCTATGCAGAAAGCTCTAAATCCTGAAAAGCTTTCTTGCAAACAATCCCTTTTGTAGGAAGTGGCCACATAGCCTTAGAGGACCAGCTTAATGTAAGTTCCCACTACAATGATTTCCTTATTCCCTTATAACAGAAGGGAGTAAAATGAAGCCTGAAAAAAACTTACAACTATCTGACTCCAATGAAAGCAAGAGAAAGCCCAGTCTGCCTTATAAAAAAAAAAAAAAAAAAAAAAAAACCTGAGTGGACTCATTATCCATACTTACAGCAAGTTGCCAAGTTTGACAAAATAGCTTTTTGCCTTATCTTTGCCAAGGCATCTAACCCACAGCAGCATGAGTCACAAGGCAGGCAGGAGAACAAAGCTGATCATCAATCCTTTGTAATTTGGAAAAACAAAACTCCAAGTCCAGAGTGCTTATGGTTCTTAAACTGGGAGCCTTCTGTTGGTTGCCATGACTACTCAGTGTCTTCTTGAGCCTGAGAGGTCCTCTTCATTCATTCAACATTTCCTGAATGAAATGTTGTTCAGCATTTCCTGAACACCTACTATGTACCAGGCACTGCATTAGATGACAAGGATACAGAAGTGAATAAGGTATGGCATTTGCCCTTGAGGAGCTCAAAGTCAGGAGGACCTCAAAACAAGTAACTACAATGCATTGTGAAAAGTATAGTGATGGAAATATGCTCTTTTAACACAAGATGCTTTGGGAATGTAGATTAAAAAGCTGCTAACTCTGCAGGCTGAGCATATCTGTTTCTGCATATGGTGAAAGGATTTAGAGTCTTTCATAAGAAAAAATTCTGCATCAAAATTGTTAATATAATTAATAACATTGAAGGGTTATTAGAAGTTTCTTTTATTTGTATTTGTATCCAAGCACTGTACTAATAGCTGAATTCTCACATTTTGCCAATGAGGAAATGGAGGCTCCAAATTTAATAAGCTTTTAATATAAAAATTGTCTTTGAGTTTCTACAGGGGAACTCAAACCATTCAAACTTTGAAGACATAATGAAGGAATTAGTTTCTGCCATCATCATGGTAAAGGACACCTGAGAAAAAGAGGAGAAGAACAAAGTACAGGAGTTTACAGTTGCCAACTCAGAGTGCATAAAGAGTCTGAGGATGGGATCAAGGATTTCCATCAGCTCTAACTCCAGGCATTCCATGGCTATCGAACAATTTCTGGCACTTACATCTATCCCAGCTACTTCTCCTAGATCCAGTCTCAAGAGAAGAAGAGAAGGCAGAAATGGAAGAAGAAGTGGGGAAAGTGCCCAGATTCTACCACCTGGAATGATCTGACTTCTCAAAGAGCCAAGAGACAGCATCCCTGGTTCCTCTTCCTAGCAAAATCAGTCACGTCATTGGTGGTCAATTACAGAACTAGTTCTATGGTATTTGGATCATCAATGCAGGAGTCAGATGTGGTTGCTAAATAAGCAAAGATATCTTGATTGGCTATACATTGCCTAAGGCACAATATGTCAGTCAGCTAAAGAAGGTACGTTTAAGGAACTGCTAGAAAAGAAAAACTGAGACTTCCTGTCATGCCATCCTCTCCAGACTTGTATTCTTTTGGAGGCATCTTCCACTATCACCTAGGTATTTTGCCCTTTTGATATTGTAGTATCTTTTCCATGAGGATATGCATTACATAGTCTAAATCTTCAGTCATATGTTAAATAAATAATTTTAAAAATCCTATACAGATAGCATCAAACAAGGTGTTCCTAGGAACAGTATTCAAGTGGTGCATTCAGAACAGCCCTGATAGTTAGAAGGCTTTTCTGCCATTATCCAGCTCTGTGACTTTGACAGTTGCCTTAACTCCTCTGCTCCTTAATATTCTCAACTGTGAAATGTGGGATTTGGACTATACAAGTTTATAGGATACCTGCACATAGGTAATGTAAAAGAATTCCCTAAGTCTTAGTGCTAGATATTTAGGGGTAAGTTTCAAGATTCTATATTTTTTAAGGTCCCACAAGAGGTGGGATGTACAGCAAGTTCGAAAAACCATGACATTCCTTCTAGCTCTGTCAAACAATGATTTGATGAGGTGAAGAGCCATGAAAAAGCACTTGGAAAAAAAACCTCACATTTTTCAAAGTGTTAAGCAAAACTGTCTTTATTTAATGACAAATGAATAATTCCCTGATAAGTTGCAGGGGCAACAGCTAGATTTTTTTCACTTTAAATTCACTTTAAGTAAGGTCTTAATAGCTAAAATATTATCTTTTCAGAAACCACAAAAACAAAAGGCAAATCCAGCAATTGAGGACAAGGCAATTAAGTTTGGGCTTTTGATGAAGATGGAGTTTTATAAGGTCAAAGGCGTTCCCAACCAATGAAGAAGGTGCATTGATCAGCAAGCATAGTTAAGAAAGAAAATTTAATTCTTTGAAAGAAATTTGGAAACCATATCCAAACAATGCTCTTGGTCTGACATTTCAAAATGTATTTGCTCTTTATTCTAGTCCCTTTGGTACTGTTATCAAAGTGAAGGCATGACATATGGAACCAAAAATATTCAGTGAGATGAAGGAGTAGTCAGATGCACACAGATGGAAAAGTCCCAGAGATTACAATCTGGCTCACCTTATACATCCAATCTCGGCTCCCTAAAGGCTCATAAGAGCTGTCATTTTTGGAGAGTCTGTATTAAAACTGCACTGGATAGCTTTCTGCAATCCTCAAAGGAACTATAAGGAGACCAATGCCCAGAGAGATTAGCTATTTTACACAAGGTATCCTAGTTGATAACAGATGAAATCAGGATTCAAACTCAGTTGTGTCACTTCCTGCTGCTTCTGAAATTGATGCCCTTCTGATCATTCTTCTAACATGCTTTCTGCCCTGTTGACGTGCAAGTACAGGGAAATGTTAGCATGTTTAGTATTTTCTAGTGTGTTTCCATAGTATACATATTGTATTACTCCATTCTCACGCTGCTATGAAGAAATACCCAAGAATGAGTGATTTATAAAGAAAAGAGGTTTAATTGACTCACAGTTCTGCATGGCTGGGAAGCCCTCAGGAAACTTACAATCATGGTAGAAGGTGAAGGGGAAGAAAGGCACCTTCTTTCCAGGGCGACAGGAAGGAGAAGTCCTCAGCAAAGGGGGAGAAGACCCTTATAAAACTGTCAGATCTCGTGAGAACTTACTCATTGTCGTGAGAACAGCATGGGGTAACCGCCCCCATGATTCAGTTACCTCCCACTGGGTCCCTCTCATGACACATGAGGATTATGGGAACTAGAAATTACAAGATGAGACTTGGGTGGGGACATAGCCAAACCATATCATTCCACCCCTGGCCCCTCCCAAATCTCATGTTCTCATATTTCAATACACAATCATGCCTTTCCAACCATCCCCGAAAGTCTTATTTTGTTCTACCATTAACTCAAAAGTCCAAGTACAAAGTCTTATTTGAAACAAGGCAAGTCCCTTCCTCCTATGAGCCTGTAAAATCCAAAGCAAGTTCGTTACTTCCAAGGTACAGTGAGGGTACAGGCATTGGGTAAATACACCTGTTCCAAATGGAAAAAATTGGCCAAAACAAAGGGGTTGCAGACCCCATGCAAGACTAAGTCTGAAATTCAGCAGGGCAGTCAAATCTTAAAGCTCCAAAATTATTTCCTTTGACTCCATGTCTTATATCCAGGTCATGCTGATGCAAGAGGTGGGCTCCCACAGCTTTGGGCAGTTCCACCCGTGGCTTTGCAGGGTACGGCCCCCTCCTGACTGCTTTCATGGTCTGGCATAGTGTATCTGCCACTTTACCAGGCACACAGTGCAGCCTGTCAATGGATCTACCATTCTGGAGTCTGGAGGACGGTGGCCCTCTTCACTCAGATCCACTAGGCACTACCTCAGTGGGGATTCTGTGTGGGGGCTGCCACCACACATTTCCCTTCTGCACTCCCCTAGTAGAGGTTCTCCATGAGGATCCAGCACCTGCAGCAAACTTCTGCCTGAAGATCTAGGCATTTCCATATAATCTCTGAAGTCTAAGCGGAGAAGGTTCCCAAACCTCAATTTTTGACTTCTGTGCACCCTCAGGCTCAACACCATGTTCCAAGGCTTGGAGCTTGCATTCTCTGAAGCCACAGTCCATGCTGTACCTTGGCCCATTTTAGCCATGATTGGAGTGGCTAGGACACAGGGCCCCAAGTCCCTAGGCTGCACAGAGCAGTGGGGCCCTGGGCCCAGCCCACGAAACCATTCTTCCCTCCTAGGCCTCCTGGCCGTGATGGGAGGGTTTGCCACTAAGGTCTCTGACATGTCCTGGAGACATTTTCTCCCATGTCTTGGCAATTAGCGTTTGGCTCCTCATTACTTATGCAAATTTCTGCAGCCAACTTGAATTTCTCCCCAGAAAATAGGATTTCCTTTTTTATCACATGGTCAGGCTGCAAATTTTCCAAATTTCTATGCCTTGCCACCTCTTGAACTCTTTGCTGCTTAGAAATTTCTTCTGACAGATAACCTAAATCATCTCTCTCAAGTTCAAAGTTCCACAGATCTCTAGGGCAGGGGCAAAATGCCACCAGTCTCTTTGCTAAAGCATAGCAAGAGTGACCTTTGCTCCAGTTCCCATGAGTTCCTCATCTCCATCTAAGAGCATCTCAGCCTGGGCTTCACCATCCATATCACTATCAGCATTTTTGTCAAAATCATTCAACAAGTCTCTAGGAACTTCCAAACTTTCCCACATATCTTCTGAGCCCTTCAAACTGTTTCAACCTCAGCCTGTTACCCAATTTCAAAGTTGCTTCCACATTTTTGGGTATTTTTATAACAGCACCCCTCTCTCTGTGGTACCAGTTTACTGTATTAATCTGTTCTCATGCTGCTATGAAAAAATACCCAAGACTGGGTAATTCATAAAGAAAAGAGATTTAACTGACCCACAGTTTCACACAGCTGGGAAAGCCTCAGGAAACTTACAATCATGGCAGAAGGTGAAGGGGAAGAAATGCACGTTCTTCACAGGGTGGTAGGAAGGAAAAGTGCCAAGCAAGGGGGAGAAACCCCTTATAAAACCATCAGATCTCATGAGAACTCACTCCCTATCACAAGAACAGCATGGGGTAACCTCCCCCATGATTCATTTACCTCCCACGGAGTTCCTCCCAGGACACATGGGGATTACAGGAACTACAATTCAAGATGAGATTTGGGTGGAGACACAACCAAACCATATAACAGATGGAATTACATGAAGCAGTTTAACACCAATAAGGGACTGTTATTGAAGGGATGTTTTTCCTGTTATTTTATTTTCCTTGTTTTTATTATTGTTGTGGTTGCTTGTTTTCTCTGATAACTAATACAGCTCCCATTGTATCTGATTGCTTCTTCCTTATGAGACACTCAGCAATGCTGGAAAATCAGTTAAGAATGTAATCTTTTGTTAAAACTGTATCTTCTCTGCATAATTTCAGTGTGTTTATAATGTATTGTTCTTTCATAGTTGACCAATCAAACTTATCTGCAATAAGCTATTTCTGTATGAGATGATCTTTGTATTCTGAAATCACAAGTAACTTTTAATGAATTATTTTACATCTAGATGTAAGCCTATCGTATACTGATGGATGGCATAGGCCGGGGCATACAATGGCTTAAAACAGAAAGATGTTTTGAGAAGATAGACTGAACAGATGACTTTTGCCTTTATGTCAGCAGCTTCTTTTCTAGGAGGGAAAACAGGCCATGTAGAACGGATCATTGATTCCACACAATATGAATCAAAAGCAGAAAAATGCAGTGATTTAACATGGTATCAACCAATCAAGAATGAATATAGAATCAACCATTGAAACTTGGGCCTTACTGCCAGAGCATCTGAGCTAACTGTACATTTCCTTACCCCAGCAGATGGATCCTGGCTCTGCTGGAGCCATCCTCCACTTCTCCACTCCTCACCTCATTCATCCCATTCTCAGGAGAGAGCAGCCTAGGTGGTTAACATTAGTACTAGAGGGTCCTACACAGGAGGATCTAAAGCTGGTGCCAGGTATATTGAAGGCATGTGGCTTCTTAGCCCAGGGAATGCAATCTCTCCAGGGACAATGCCTGCTGCCTTGCATGAGGACCTCACTCAGGGTGCCTGGAACCCCTTCTAAGAGCAGGAGTGGAAGGCAGAAGCTCCTAAGGGAGCTGGGCCTTGCCTGCCTCAGAAACGTAAGCCTTTCCCAGAAAGTGCAGCTCTGCCACCACCTGTGACTCTTGGAGTCAACAGTGGAAGCAGAAGCGGATTGTCTTTTCCAGGGTAAAGCTGTGAGAGATGCAGCCTAGAGAAGCCCACACCCTCCAGTCTCTGATGCCACCTCCTTTTGTTTCCATGAAGCTACTTAATGAGATTCTTCATGCATAAAATTAATTTTTGCCCTCTTCTATCAGCTTTTGCCACTAAAGGATTTACGTACAATTCTGTCAGATTTTATTTATATGTGCAATAAAGGGGACCCAGATCATAATGAAGGCTTTTATGGGCAATGATGGGAGATACAAAGGGAAGCTGAGAGCAGGCAGCCATCCAGGCTCCCTTTGGATGCCAAGATACATTATGCAGGAGATACCCCCTGCAGAAATGCACTAGGCTCTCCCTAATCAGAGCTGTACCTCAAGTCAGATCCTAATTTGTTGCTGGGGGAGAGGGGGAAGAACAGGGCTATTAATAAACAGCGCAAATAATTAGGCTTTATGGGAATTTGGTTGTTTTCTTACATACTAGATTTGCTCTCAATCCTTTCTCAAACGTGTCCTGCTCGATTGCCCCGCAGCCAGCGGCTTACTGCATTGATTGCCCACTGGGAAGCTTTCTGGATCTGGAATGGGAGAAGGGCTGGACAACATGCTTGTTTGTAATAACGGCTCTTGTTCACTGAGCATCCCCTAAGGCCAGGCTCTGAGCCAGGCAGTGAGCTGACATGATTTCACCGAATCACCAAAGCAGCTGGTAGGGTAGCTATTGTCAGTTCCACTTTAAAGATAAGGAAACTGAGGATCAGAGAGGTTTCATAGCTGCTTGAGGTCACATACCATTCCTTGCAGAATTAAGCACCCCACTTCTTTATGTAAAGGGAAATTTGTTCCCTTCTCCCCACAAAATTCTAAGTCATCAGCTGTTCTCTAGACTAGAAAGGACAGTAGTGTGGTATTTAGAACAAACATCAGACTGGGTACAGGACGTGGCTCCTATTCCTACTCCCATTTTTATTGCTGAATGCTGTGTGACCTTGAGAAAATCACTCCACCTCTCTGACTCACATTCTTCTGTTGAAAAATGAGAGTATGAACTCAAGGAGTCTGTTCAGTTCTGGCATTTTTATTCTGGAACACTCTCTTGACATAGTTAATGCAAGAGTGTGTGTAAAGTGCATATGTTAGCCCACAGACAGAAACTGCACTCATTTTTCAGAGCTAAAATACTTGGAGCTACGCCACTGCACAGAGAACACTGGGACAGTCTTTGGATTCCCAAAGCTGTGACTGACTGCCAAGCTGCGGGGGAACATCAGAGACATTTTTCTTGCTCACCCTCTTTTTGCCAACAGGAGAGATTAAGAATCACAAAGACTACAAAAATGAAAGTTGCATGAGATGGCTGAGGGCTGACAACTGAAGATGAAGAGCTCAGTGGTACAGTTTAGCCTTTTCCACGATGGGCACTTTGCTGTGGAGGTCCAGCCACTATATGGGGATTTCATTTTCAGGAAAACTACACTCTATTGGCATCTTACATTTTCAACAAGAAAAAAATTTCACTGGCCATTTGAGTCACAGGAAGGAACTTTTAAGACACAGTATGATGTTTGTCCCCTACCATGGGTTCTATGTCTTTTTATGCTGCAAGAGAATGACCACAGCCTCAATCGTCATTCAACAAATACTTAGATCCTACTGTGCTCTAAGCTCCATGCTAGGTTTCCAGGATGAAAAGAAAATAAAGTGCTGAAAAGATCTGAAAGTGTTCAAAGTCTGGTGGCAAAAGTAAATAATTTCATACAATGCAAGACGAGGACTATGGTAAAGAGGGTGTTGTGGGTGTTTGGAAGATGGTCACCTTGCTAAATAGGAGTAGACCATGGAGAAAGGCATTCACCTGAGTTACGGCAGGAAGGCATGATTAATTCCAAGAAGAGTAGGTTTTTGAGCTGATTCTTGTAAGATGAGTGGAAATTAGCCAGGCGAGTCAGTGAGAGGACAGTGTTCCAACAGAAAGGTAGACCACTCTACTCTGATCGTGCCATGGCTATGAGGTAAAATGTCGCTTAAACAGAGGATCAGGACCCTGTTCCCTCAGAGGGGTTTTCAGGCATTACAGTGTGGAATGTTTAGGTC
Organism: Homo sapiens; assembly: GCF_000001405.40. Taxonomy (NCBI): domain Eukaryota; kingdom Metazoa; phylum Chordata; class Mammalia; order Primates; family Hominidae; genus Homo; species Homo sapiens. Next base: position 110,353,649 of record NC_000005.10, on the reverse strand, counting down.
CCCAGTATATGTAGCTCTCCCAGTCTTTTTTTTTTTTTTTTTTTTGAGATGGGGTTTTGCTCTATGGTGTGATCTTGGCTCACTGCAACGTCCTCCTCCTGAGTTCAAGCGATTCTCCTGCCTCAGCCTCCTGAGTAGCTGGGATTACAGGTGTGTGCCACCACGCCCAGCTAATTTATTTTTTTTTTTAGTAGAGATGGGGTTTCATCATGTTGGTCAGGCTGGTCTCGAACTCCTGACCTTGTGATCCGCCCACCACGGCCTCCCAAAGTGCTGGGATTACAGGCGTAAGCCACCACGCCTTTCTAAATGCAGCTCTTCTCTCTTTCCTCCCAGGAAACGTAATTATGAAATACCTTCCTAATGTCTGTGAAAACTCTTCAATGGGAGAAAAACCACACGTTATATATCTTTTTTTTTTGAGACAGAGTTTCGCTCTTGTTGCCCAGGCTGGAGTGCAGTGGCATAATCTCGGCTCATTGCCACCTTGCCTTCAGGTTTCAAGCAGTTCTCTTGCCTCAGCCTCCCAATTAGCTGGGATTACAGGCGCCTGCCACCACACCCGTTATATATCTTTCTAAAAGATGTAGAGGAAAAAAGAATGAGAGGAACCAAAGAAACTGGGATCCTCCCACCCCCTCCCGAGTGCTCCATGGAGTGAGGTTCCAGTCAAGGACTGATTCTCAAAAGAAAGACTAGGGAGAAAGCAGAGAAGAAACTTAAATTAAAAAGTCAGGAAACAACAGGTGCTGGAGAGGATGTGGAGAAATAGGATCACTTTTACACTGTTGGTGGGACTGTAAACTAGTTCAACCATTGTGGAAGTCAGTGTGGCGATTCCTCAGGGATCTAGAACTAGAAATACCATTTGACTCAGCCATCCCATTGCTGGGTATATACCCAAAGGATTATAAATCATGCTGCTATAAAGACACATGCACATGTATGTTTATTGTGGCACTATTCACAATAGCAAAGACTTGGAACCAACCCAAATGTCCAACAATGATAGACTGGATTAAGAAAATGTGGCACATATACACCATGGAATACTATGCAGCCATAAAAAATGATGAGTTCATGTCCTTTGTAGGGACATGGATGAAATTGGAAATCATCATTCTCAGTAAACTATCGCAAGGACAAAAAACCAAACACCGCATGTTCTCACTTATAGATGGGAATTGAACAATAAGAACACATGGACACAGCAAGGGGAACATCACCCTCTGGGTACTGTTGTGGGGTGGGGGGAGGGGGGAGGGATAGCATTAGGAGATATACCTAATGCTAAATGACGAGTTAATGGGTACAGCACACCAGCATGGCACATGTATACATATGTAACTAACCTGCACATTGTGCACATGTACCCTAAAACTTAAAGTATAATAATAATAATAAAAAAAGAAACTTAACAAGGCAGCAACCTTCCCCTAAGCAACTCTCAGCCCAGACATTAAATCAGCAGCAGAAAAAGAAAGGTGAAGAAGTATAGAAAAAGGCATCTTTGCTCTCTTTAACTGTTAGGAAAGAAATAAAAAGATAGAAAATAGGTTGCCATGGACTAACAACTAGTCCTGAGTACAACCAAGAATGAGATGTGTTTTCTATGTATTGTGGAAGTGGGAGGAAGATACTAAGCATGACTTAGAGCATCACCCTGCCCATCCTGTGCCAGATGAGAGATGCCACTTAAGGTGAGGGAGATGGGAAAAAAGTGCATACCTTTCCTTTTTAAGTTCTTGCTTGGCCACAAAATGTGAATTGGGCCAATGGGGTAAGGGAAAGAGGTGCTGTAAGTGTTCAGAAGAAGAATCAATGCCATAATACTGGAAGAAGTCTTTCATAGCACCATCAAAAAATAGCATCTTCATTTTCCCCTCCATGAACTACCCTATTTCAACAGTAGAAACAGTGGTAAGGGGATGAGGTGAGAGTTATGCAAAAGAGACAGACTTGATAGAAATAAGAATAACAAAACATTGAGCAATTTCTTGTGACTTACATGCAGAGAAAAAATGTTTTCATGGAAAAAAGCCAGATGAGGACCTCCTGGGAAGTATTGTGAGCTTTTCTTTTGCACTCTCATTATGACTTTAATAGTTTTTTCTGATTACTGAAATGATGGAAGTCCTTTGTATAATATTTAGAAAGTATATAAAAGCACAGAAAAGAAAATAAAAAAAAAACATTTCTACCTTAAAGAATTTTAACTCTTGCAGATCAAATATTTAAAAAGGAAAAAGAGAAGAAGAGATGGCAAAAAGATATGAGTACTTTGATTTCTAAATTAGGTGGAAAATAATTGAATAACATAAGCATCATCTCTACTAACGAATACATATTAAATTACATAAATTCTTTTCAGATACTTCATCACCAAAAGTAAAAATAATTGACACAGGGCTTTTTGGCATGGTAGTCATTTACATCAAAATGTCAACATAGTTAGTACCATGAAATATTATACCCAGCAGAGCTCCCTGCTCCATCCCATCCATGAGCCTCATTCGCTCCTTATTTCATCCATTACTTTTTCCTTTTTGGCCAGTCCTATACTGACTTGTTGAGGCACAGAATAGGGTAAATGTCAAGGAGAGAATGAAATTAAAAGCCAAAAGTGATTTCTAGAACAGATCAAAATGTTTTATTAAGCTTTTCCTCTGCAATCCCCTTTTTCTTGTAGATATGAGGCCTGGACTGGGCAAGGACGTCTCTGTCTGGGCTGTCAATAGGACAGGTTATTTGTTGTTGACATCTACCCTCACCTCTTACACTCAAGCTGCGGATACTGCAGACCTTGGTTAAAGTGGGCTTCTTCCCTCCCCTCCATTAATGATTCTCACCTGGCAGCACAGATTTTGCACCTATGCCTGCCTGTGGTGCAGGCAGCCCCTCACCCTGCCCACTCATAGGTTAGCAACTGGAGCAGGTCAAGCCCAGGCTGGGCCCTGGGTTGCCCATGGAAAGCCCAGGGAGAAATATTGCCACTGCTCCCGTTATCCCCCACTGGCTGCCACAAGGGCTAACCAGCTCAACCCCCATCGGATTCTATGTTCTTAGAGGGTTTTCTGCTATCAGTGTTATTATTGTCCCATGAATGACTGAGAAGCCATAGTGATTTTAGAGTTCCTAAAAAGAGGTGAGTACAGTCGTTCTTAGGAAAGAGCTCTGCTGTCAATCATCCTACCATCCAAGGATTACTGTCTGTAGTAAGCTTTCACTGGTAGGAAGCTTGTAAGGGAAACCCAAAAATGAATGTACCATAGAAAGATTACCAAGAAGTTCAGGAGATTCTCTTTTCAGAGGGCACTGTTTTTTACAAATTACTAGGTAAATGCATCAGCCTATGGCATAGGGATATCAGAGCAATATTTTTTCAATTTCTAGACAAAGTGGGAGGAAGAAAATTAATTGCTTATCTATTCAATATTGACAAAGGGAGCTGGCTAAAAGACACATAAATTATCAAGATGTTTTCGTGATGCTATAACAGAATATCACGAACTGGGTAATTTATAAGGAAAAACATTCATGTCTCAAAGTTCTACAGGCTGAAAAGCTCAATACTTAGGTCCTAGCATCTTGTACGGGCCTTCTTGTTGTATCATAACATAGCAGAATTGCAAAGAGGATTAGAGAGAGCAAGAGGGGGCTGAACTTGTTTTTTTTTTTTTTTTTTTTTTTGTTGTTGTTGTTCATTTGTTTTGTTTTGTTTTGAGATGGAGTCTCTCTGTCACCCAGGCTGAGGTGCAGTGGTGCAATCTCAGCTCACTGCAACCTTTGCCTCCTGGGTTCAAACAATTCTCCTACCTCAGCTTCCCAAGTAGCTGAGATTACAGGCACACCACCATGCCCAGCTAATTTTTGTATTTTTAGTAGAGATGTTGGCCCAGCTGGTCTCAAACTCCTGACATCCAGCGATCTGCCTGCCTCTGCCTCCTAAAGTGCTGGGATTACAGGTGTGAACCACCATGCCCAGCCTCTAAGTGATTTTGTTTTTGTACTTTTACTCATTTAATCCCCATAACAAACCTAGGAGGCATGTAATATTATTATCACCATTTTAGAGATGAGGAAATTGAGGCAGATAGAGGTTAATTTGTCCCCATCACACAGGTAAAACAGGAGGAGGCAACATGGAATGTCTGCCCCTAGAACCCGTGTCCTTGTTAGTATGCAGCTGAAATAAGCTCTTTCTGCACATTAGGAAGGATCACTAATTCCCAAGTTAATATCCATGTTGTATCTCAAGGACTGGACCCACTTCTCAATCACCAGATTTAACTCCCAAAGCCGTGGTGGGGGAACACCCAGGCCTGCATGTGGAGACAAGAAGACATGATTCTATGCTTGATGCTGGGAATAGATGGGACCAAAAATGGCTCTGACTCAGAACTCTGCTTGTCAAGAAATGAGTCTGAACTGATTGGTCAGCCAACAGATAATATGCTTAAGGAGAAAGCAAGTTTATTTGGGAAGAAGCTTTCCTCCAAGACATTGCTGGGGATTTGCAACCAGCAGAGTGATTTCAAAAAATGAACCAGCCCATATAGTCATGCTTTATTTGAGCATCCAACCCAAATAGGGTATTATCTTGCTCACTTCTTTGAAGTCACCAACAATTCTTAAGGAATTAAATAATTTTCGAAACGTTTTTGTCTATGGTGCTGACTTTTCTAATCCAGAAGCCCAACTCAAAATTTTCCAAGAAAATCCAGATAATTAATGGTTGAGTATTTGGGGTGTCAGGTAAAATTAGTATTTTCTATAAGAAAGCTAATTTTCTTGTTTGTTCCATATATTGGGGGCTATCTTCTGCTATTACTTCCTGCTTTATAGAAAATCCCACTACAGCTGAGGTCTTGATTTTTTTTTTCTCTCATTTTTTATTTTGGAACCCTAAGAGATCATCAGTCTACCTGTTTTATTTTCAGTAAAATGCAAATAGTATATATATTTAGAATAACATAGTAAATAATGTATTGCTTATACAGTAAATTATTTATTTACTCCAGGCATACATAGTTAGAATTTGAATATAAACATTTTATAGTCGGTACCACTGCTAATGAAAAAAAATTAAATCAGCCTGATGGCAGCTCTGGATTATACTGTACCTACACTCCACATCATCAGCAACCTGCAAACAATCACTCACCAGCACACAATTCCACAGTTATTTGCAGGATTTTCCAAAACGTTCAGTGTTTGAAATCTTTTTCAGTCTCCTTTCCTCTGTATACTGCCTTCCAGCTCTCACCCTTTCCTCTTAACCTGCCTTGCTGTAGTCTAGTAGGTGTCTGATTAGTCCTTTGTCAATCAACATGTATTTATTGAGCACTGATTATATATAATGCTTGCTAGGAACTGTGAATGAATATTGGAGGAATATTAACTGTCGGCCTTTCTGGAAGAGTTTGTACTTGGCTAAGTTACATATATTAGTATACTCCACAAACCCCCAAAATAAATAAATAAATAATGAAGATTTTAATAATCAGAACACCAACCAATTGTTACAAATATTTTTGAAAAGTGATAGCATTTGAACAAACTACATGGCTACCATTTGGCTACTGTGAGATTTTGTAAAACCTAAATTAAAATATATATGGGAAAGAATCTGTGTGACCTTTGGCTCTTCTTCTGAACTTTGAAGCTGCTCCAGTAACTTTAGTGAACTCACCATCCAGCAGCAACTGACATTATCATGCTCAAAAAGTAGAATGCAAATAGAGAAATTTACAATGATTGAAGAACCAGGAGTAGAATCTCTTGGTATTAAATATTTGTAGTATTTAGACTGTAAAGCACAGGGCAGAAGCAGAAAAAATTTGAAATCACATAAAACCACAAAACTTAGGGATAAATTGAATATAAACTTATGTTCCAAATCTTCGATATATTTGAACAGCTTTTTGAGGGCTTTTTTTGAAACATGGGCAAGGTAAATGTTTTTTCTTATAAAATGCATGGACACCGTTTCCTTAGCAGTTTCTACATTCCAGGTCTTAGGCATACATTGCTTAATATAATATTCACAATACCCTTGCAAGGTAACTGCTACTACTATCATTTTAAAGTTGAGAAAGTTGAGACTCATACCTTTATAATTACCCCAAAGGGGAGAAAGCCCTTAAGTGACAAACTCCAAGTAGCTCAAAATCCTGAACTATTTTCATTGTTATACATTGCCTCTCAGATGTAGTGTGGCATCACTTAATGGGAGGTAAACATTAAGATATCAATACCACCATCCCCCACCACAAAACAAAGAAGTATGTTCAGGAGAAATTAAGAAGTGAAACAGGTTTTTGGCAGTTGTTCCTTTGAAAGCCACCATGAATAATGGTGTTTGTACCCAAGTTTAAAAATTATGTCTTCTAACAAATATGTCTTCATCACTATTTTCAAAAGAGTTTTGTGACCAGTGTGAAAGACAGACATTTTACCCAAATAATTTCCAAGAGTAAATGAGACCATAAGTGATAAGAAGGACCAGTAGGGAAGAGAAGGTCCAGTGACAAAGGAATTGCTGGCCAAGGGTCCAAGAGTCCAAATTGCATAATTTACAGGAATGAGAGACAAGAGAGGTATTTATTGTTTTTGCTGGTGGTTTTCCAAAGAGCTGACCTTGGCTTTATTGGTCTTTCCAATTGCATGGCTCTTTTAACTTTACAAACTTGTATTTTTATGCATATTATTTTCTTACTTCTCTGTGTGAGTTTATTTTGCTATCCTTTTTCTAACCAAGCATTTGAAAGTTGTTGAGCCTTACTCTATAGTCCAGTACATGGTTATTTCTTATAAAAGTTTCACCTGTTGTTGAGAATAGTGAGGCCTCTGTCATTGTTGGTTGGGATGTCCTTATATGTCTGTTATCTTGAGGTTGCTAGTTGTCCTGTTAAAATTTCTATGCTCTTAGAATAGATTTATTTTTTCTGCTTGATCTATCAGTCAGGATGAGAGATATGTTAAAAACCTCTAAATTAAATTATGGACTTGTCTAATTCTTCTTGTAGTTCTGACACTTTGGGGTTTAAAAAATATGAAGCTGCATTAAGAAGTGCATAAAAATTTTAGATTGTTATATGTTCTCAGTGAATTAAACCTTTTATCATTAGGAAGTGTCACTCTATCTCTACTAATGACTTTTTTATTGCATTCTATTTGGTCTGAAATTAGTATGACTACCCAAACTATCCTTTATTCATATTTTTATAGTATACCCAGCTATTTTAGATGTTTTCTGTGGGAAACATATTCCAGTTATTTATCCCACAGTGTTGCAAATTCAGAATGCTGTGATTTTATTTATTTTTACTATAATGTGGTTTTTTGAGTAGTTTTTATTAATGTTTTTCTGATATTTTTTCTTTCTAGTCTTCTTACTTCAATGCTATCCCAATAAGAATGTTACAGACTTTCCTAATTTGGGTGGATTATCATCTGTAACCTATACCTCTGAGGTTTCAGTGTGGCAATAAATTAATAGAGTGACTATAAATACACACATACTAGCACAATCTGTTTTCTCTTTCTAATGACTGAAGAACATTTTCTGTTTATGTTTTATTTATGGACATTTCTAGTGTTTTCTTGCCACCAAACAGTAGAAACATCTTAAACTACCTTCTTATATTTAGAATAATACCTTCAAAATTTCTAAGTCATAAATCATTCATGCCAAAATAAAAATAAAATTTTGAGCCAATAAAGAGGTCCAGCCAAAAAAGGAATCAAAGAAGTGAGCTGAACTCCCCAGAGAAGAGTGTTTGCTATCTACTTTCACTCTTTTGCTCTCCTATTCTGGCACCATAAGGACAGACCCTTGCCAAATAGGTCTCCATTCCACCAAGACTTAGGACTCAGCCTGGCACTACCAGGAATTTACAGCAAAAAGAGCTTGACTCCTCATATCCCATCTCCCTTTCATTTAATGTAATTACATCCCTTAGGCACTCCATATTTACTTTGTTTCCTATATGAGATGGTAAACAACAGCAGCCTCACTAGGATACTGAAGAAACTGAAAAAAAATTACAAGGATTCTGGAAATAATAAATAAGGGGGCCGGGTACGGTGGCTCTTGCCTGTAATCCCAGAACTTTGGGAGGCTGAGACAGGTGGATTACTTGAGGTCAGGAGTTTGAGACCAGCCTGGCCAATATGGTGAAACCCCATCTGTACAAAAATACAAAAAAATAAAATAAAAATTAGCCAGGCGTGGTGGTGCACACTTGTAATCCCAGCTACTTAGGAGGCTGAGGCCTGAGGACCACTTGAACCTAGGAGGCAGGGGTTGCCGTGAGCCAAGATGACAGAGCGAGACTCCATAGCATGCTTTCAAGTTCACATTTTAACTTAATGTTTACCAGATATGGAAGAATGTACACACAGATATATATTTCTTGAAGTACATGCACTCACACACACACTTGTGACTATCCTGGATATCCAGGATATGCAGGCCCACACATATACGTGTATCCATGCATATCACCAAACTATAGCAAACATCGTACATGTAAATTCCAAATTGGAGGGTGATACAATTGCGTGTTATCATTGACTCATTAAGAATAAAAAGTAAAATGCCATTGAGCTCTGCATTCAATTATATTGGGCTTTGAATAGGACCAGTTTTCCTTGCAACTGATCTACATTTTACTGGGTAGTAAGAGTCTGCTTGTAACTATGTTAATTAAATTAATTTAAATACTGTTACCTATTTCATCTAGAAAGAATTAACTTGATCTGAAAGGAAAGTAACTGCCTGATATCTTCTATAGGCTCAGATGAAAGAAAATAGATTTTAGGCTCACCATGTACAAGGGATTAATCCTCACCTGCATCAAGTTTAGGATAGCTTATTTCCAAACCAAGGAATTCCGCAAGCAGTCTCTTTTTTTTTTTGGCCAGGCTGGAGTGCAGTGGCACCATCTTGGGTCACTGCAACCTCCACTTCCCAGTTCAAGCAATTCTCCTACCTCAGTCTCCCGAGTATCTGGGATTACAGGCACCAGCAGCCACGCCTAGCTAATTTTTGTAGTTTTAGTAAAGACAGGGTTTCACCATATTGGCCAGGATAGTCTCCATCTCCTGACCTCATGATCCACCCGCCTTGGCCTCCCAAACTGCTGGGATTACAGGCATGAGCCACCGCGCCTGGCCAGCAGTGTCTTAATAAATGGGCCCTGCTCATCTCGATTGCAGACAATTATCCCAGTGGGTAGAGACTGAAAACTGTTATCCACAGAGAATAAAGGAAAAGGATGTTGCCATCCTGGAGAAGTTCTGATTATAAAAATTATCTAGATTAAAGCAAATTCTGAACAAAAATTCTTGGGCTTCAACAATGAGATAGACATCTGAATAAACCACTTACTAGTGAACTGGGACCTGGAACGTTCCCAGGTACAAATGTTCATCAAGCTTAAAGCAAGTTATATACTTAAAGTGAAATATTCCAAGTTAGAATTATGTGGAGTTGAAAATTTATTTCCTCATTAAAATAAAGTTATAAGAGTTATATTCCCGGACAAGCTTTTACCACCAGCTTTACGAAAATTACCATTAACATTCTGTTTTACAAACTCCAAATAGTATACCTGAAGAAGATGAAGATTTCTAATGTGCATTTAAATCAGAACTGTAGAAAAATTCAGTAGCCATTTACATTAAATTTAACAGAATATAGTGTACCATGAAAAGTTCTCGTCTTCATTATTCACAGTTTTTGTTTTATTTTTACTGCCTCCACTCAGAAGCCATTAGAGTCCTTAATACAGATCAATGATGGAATCCACAGTGGAAGTTTTTGTAGTCAACTTAAGAAGATAGATGGCCACATTGAGTTTTTTCAAAAACTGTTTTAGGATTGCCTGTTCTTTATTCTGGCTTATTTTTCTCATTGTACATTTACATATAGCAAGCATAAAGATTGGAGAGAAAGTTATTGGCAATTTTGCTGCTTTGGAAACAAAATCTTTATACTTTCAGTTGCCATTTCATCCTCATTAACAGTGGTGATTTCTACCTTAATGAAAGATAAGATATATCTGTCTTTAAATATAAGACCCAGACTGTATTTTCACAAAATTGTTTTCTTCGAAGAAAGAATACAGTCAGAGGATTCCATTCATGTAGACAAATCAAGTCTGTCTGTTTTTTACAATTGTACTCTGGGTTTTATAATAAGTGGCTGCAAATTCACAAAGAGCTCTATTACGTCTTTAGTCATTTTAATAGGATATATTACTATGAAGAAATGATATCTATCTTTTCATTAAAATACATGCAAGATATATAGATAAATTATGTATTTTTATTATTTACAACAGTAGTTCTTTAGAAGACATGACATCATGTAAACAAAAACATTGTCCTAAAATGTGGGAGACCTTTGTTTGATTTCCAAGCCTCTGTCATGTAAAATTATGACCATAAGTCTTAATATTTCCTATCCCTAGCTCTCTTATCTTTGAAGTGAGGAATGGAACTGGATGATGTATAAGGTCCTCTCCAGTTCTGTAATACTGTGATTCTAGTCCCACTTATTTAAATACTGTTTCTATTACTGATGGTAAAATACTTGCACAATTCCTCCTCTGCAGCTGAATTTGAAAAATCAGTTTCCCCTTTGCAAAACATCATGTTCTTTCCTTCTCTTGGCATACCTCCTGCTTCTCAGCTGCTAAGATTTGTGTTTTCTTCCCTGTGGTGTACACCAATCGTCTCTGCCCTGTGTTAACCCCCATGGGAGCCCCATGAGTAGGGTAATTAACAGAAAGAGGACTTAGATAGTGCCAGGGCTATCTGGGCTAGGCTGCAGAGGGGAGCTGGCTTCATGCCTCCCTAGTCTAAGTGTTGTGAGGTAAGGACCATGTTCAGTAAAAAGAGCACTCAATACACATCAAAAGACCAGAAGTTCAAATATTGGCTCTGTCCCTTGCTAGCTTATGTGAACTGGAGAAATCTGTTTAACCCGTATGAATCACAATTTCTTCTTTGTAAAATGAGGGTGATTGTGAGAATTAATGAGATAATGTGAAAGTTCCTGTAACAGTGTTACACTATGGTGGTCATCAAACATGAGTTGAATTTGGATCAGACATTAGCATTATTGATTGAGCAGTGGAACCAAGAGCATTGCTGACAGGCAAGAACTGTGTGCATAAGTTAAATTCCTATACTTTAATTGCTACCCATAAGTGATGTTAGAGTTCACAGGGATTTGCAACAACGAGTCCCGTAAAACAAAATCTATTTCCCAGGGAGACTCAAACAAGACCTGATCCCCTCCTTGAGATTTGTTGACAGAGAGGATGCTATAAACATTAGCTAAGCAATCACCTTGTTTGAAGTCATCTGTTATACCTAAGTCAGCTGCTTGTATTTGAAAATGTGTAAGGATTTTTCAGTTTGGAGTCTGTGAAGGAGAAGAACCATGCTTCTAACACAGGTTTTTTTTTTTTTTTTTTTTAAATGTGCTAATAGATTGTTCTCGCCTTTAGAGAATAAGTACTGATTAGCATCTATCAATGCAGGCGCAGCTCTGGACAAGAGCCAAAGGAATGGGGCTGTGGCCAAGGATTGGTGTCTGTCAGTATCAGCATGATCTTCTGGTCAGAAATCAATAAATGTAAATTCCAAATTAGAGTTTTGAGCTTGAATCTGACAATCCTATGCCTCTGTATTTGTTTTTTTATTTCATGTCTTAAGGGACACAGCCATAAAACAGATGGTACAGCAGCATGGACAATTGGCTGAGTACTTGCTATTGAAATAGAAAAAGTTTTTTTCCTAGATAAAGAGGGTATAGGTGAGGTGAAACAGAGCTGGGGACTTGGATGCTGGAGTGTTATATTCCTTTCTTGTGGCTGCTGTTACTAATTACCTCTAACTTGGTGGCTTAAAACAACACAACTTTATTATCTTACATTCTAGCGATCATAAGCCCAACATGTGTCTCATTGGGATAAAATCAAGTTTTGGCACCCCTGGTTCCTTTTAGAGTCTCTAGGGGAGAATCTGTCTCCTTGCTTTTTTCCCCCAGTTTTTAGAGGGCCCCCATATTCCTTGGTTCGTGACCCTCTTTTATTTTCAAAGCCAGCAATGACCATTCAAATCTTTTTCATATCACATGACTCTGACACTAACATTTCTGCTTTTCTTTTTTATTTATAAGTACTCTTGTGATTACACTGTGTCCTGGATAATGTTGGATAATCTTATTTTAGAGTCAAATGATTAGCAAACGTAATTCTATCTACAACCTTAATTTCCCCTTCCCATGCAACATAACATAGTCACAGATTCTGGGGATTAGGACAGGCACATCTTGGTGGAGGTGGTGGGGTGGGAACATTATTTTGTCGCCCTCAAGTGTGTCATGTTGGTGGATACAAAGCCAGGAGGGTCACTGCATAGGGTCAGAGGCCTCTTAAATATGCAGAAGTTTCTGGAAAGTCACTAGATTAAAAATATCCATGAAGCAGGAAGCTGAATAACAAAAAATAGTAGAGTGTAAACAGCCAGATAGAATTGTAAGGCAGTTACTCATTGGAAAGAAGGCAGTAATTCATTTCTAAAGTTCATATCCTTCAACACAATGATTTCACTTTAGAAATCCAGTCTAAATGTGATGGAAGTAAAGATTTGTGAGGATATTCAGCATGGCAATATTGGAAATAAACAAGATGTCCAACAATAGGAGATTGTTTAAACACAACCTGGCACCATCCACATGATTGCATATTATACAGCTATGAAGTGTCATTTTTGAAGAAGAAATATTATTCCCAGCTCTGATTAAATCCACTTTAACACTCCCCTATATTTCTGGGTTTTTTTTTTTTGTTGTTGTTGTCTCTGTGGTAAATGATAGAATATACTAGTAAACTTCCTGACCAATTTTTATGGAACTCATAGTTAAATACACACAAAAACCAGACAGTATGTAGGCAACCATAAGTATGCTGAATTTTTTGAAAGAGATAGTGCGAGATGCTTGAGGAGCAAGCAGGACAGAAATGTGTCTACCTGGGAGCCTTCCAAAAATAGAGGTCCCAACTGCTGGCCTAAACCCTGCTAGCCTATCGTTATCAGAGGCTAAATCACCACCAGGGACAGTTGATTTCTTGGCAGCGTTTGGTGCTTTAGAATCTAAAAATGTCCTAGGGAATCATTTTTCTCTACTTTATTCCTCATTTCATTTTATGACCTCCCAACTTGTTCTTTTTAATTTTTTACCTGCATTCAATAAATGTTATCTTGTAATGTACATAGCTTACAGACTACCATAAAACCTTTCTGAAACAAGATGGAATAAATCAATTAATATTTGAAAATATAAGGACCACACTCATCAAATCAATGTGTCATTGACAAAGGGACTGCAAGACCATCGCCACAAGACTCTCAACTACTTGCTTCTAGTTCTTTACCCTTTGCTTCTAGTCCCTGATTAAGAAGGGCAGCCAGTTAGTTCTCTTGGAGTGTGGAATTTTACCCTAGTAATCTTCCCTAGCCCCTTGGCTTTTCCGTGAATTTGCCTCTACAAACCAAAAACAAAATTCTAACTCCCCCCAACTGACAGAATGAACCCCCTGCTTGGCCAAGGGGACCCAAACAAACCGAAAAAAAACAAGTTCAGGTCATCACCACAGGAAGGGAGCAGGGGCCACATATGCCTCATTATACCCTCCTCTTTTTGGAGTTCAGGTAACACAACTGACCAGCATTAACAGTAAAATAGAAATCCCAAGACAGACAGAACAGACTCTTTGTAGCAATAAGTTACCAACTTCAACCTGATTTGGGTACAGCAACACAGGACAGATAACAGGCCCTAAAAGGAAATCAAAGTATTTTACCCCCAAAATATATTATTTGACGTATTTTGAAATGTCCCTGAAAACTATCTCTTATAGGGGAAATTTGCATTCTGTAGAGAATCACCTTCCCTTACTAGGTCTCTCCAGAGAATCTTAAACATGTATTCTCTCTGAAGCTGGCTACCTGGAGGCTTCATCTACATGATAAGAACCTTGGCTTTCACAGCACCTCCTTCCAACCTTACCTTAACTCAAGCTAATTTCAACTCTTCAGGCAGAACTTAACTCTTCAACCAATTGCCAATCAGGAGATCTTTAAATCCACCTATGACCTGGAAGGCCGCCCCCAACTGCCAACCCAGCTTTGAGACATTGTTTCTTTCCAGACTGCTCCTTTCTTTCAGTGTATACCTTACATGTATTGATTTACATCTTTGCCTGTACCTTCTATCTCCCGAAAATGTATAAAACCAAGCTGTAGCCCAACCACCTTGGGCACATTTTCTCAGAACCTCCTGAGGCTGTGTCATGGGTCATGGTCCTTAACCATGGCACAATAAACTTCTAAATTTATTGAGACCTGTCTCAGATACTTTTTTGGTTTATACCTCTTAAGAGGAATGACAAATGCAGACCTAGCTTCATCTTTTGCAGAATGACAGAGGTTAGAGTTACTATCTTTTCTTACGTACTTCAGATAGTCTTCAAATGTCACAGTGCTTGGCACAACTCAAGCTTTTAATAAATGGCAGCTTATTTTTCTTCATTTTGTTTTGGCAGGAAGAGGAAAACTTTCATGAGATTAATTAGTGAAATGGTTTTCATAGACACCAGCAACTACAGCAGCTGCAGAATCCTAGGGTTTGTTTTGACAATGAAATCACCTTTGCGAAAATCAGAACTGAGGAAATGATGACAGTGAAAGAGATCAGACCTAACCAACCCGATCTTGTTTCTAACCTCTAAGCTGTCTTTGTTCATTCATGGGTGTAGGCCAAACTAGCCTTAGGAAGGAATTTAATTTATAGTTTAAACTCTGAAACAAAATTGATAAATAGCCCTTTCCCAAAAACAAAACAAAACAAAAAACCCTTCTTGAATGTGGACCAACCTGCCTTTGTAGGACTGGCAAATTAGCTACAAGATTAGAAATTACTGTTTGGAGGCCATGAAGCCTCTGGCTGCAAGAGTTTCAACTTCCCCAAATTGCTCCTGGGAATAACATCACTGTTGCAAAACCTAAGATCAGTGCTTGAGATATTTTGCAGACCCTGCATTCCGATGCAGCAGATGACACCATCCAGACCTACGATCTGGCTCAACCAGTCCTGCGATCCCATCCAGGAACGGAAGTCAGCAAGAAGAACTCACTTCGACCCCCTATGATTTCATCTCCAACCCAATCAATCAGCAGTCCCTACTTCCCAAGCCCCAGACAAATTATCATTAAAACTCTGACCCTCAAATGCCCCAGGAGACTGATTTGAGACCCTCAAAAACTCCGGTCTCCCGCACTGCCTGTTCTGCAATGAATTACTCTTTCACAATTGCAATTCCCCTGTCTTGGTAAATCGGCTCTGTCTAGGCAGCGGGCAAGGTAAACCCATTGGGCAGTGACAATAAGATCTATAGATTCCATTGTTATTTACCATCTCATATGGGGGCTCACTTGAATCATGCCAACCTCCAATGTCTCTCTTACTCTCCTTTACTGCATGTGAAAAACTTCTAATGAAACAGAAAAATGCATACCATATAAAATTTAGTTAAAAAGGAGAAATACGAAGCATTTTTATCAGGGGCATCTCTGACTAAATTAATTCATGGGAAAGTTTTCTTGCATTGTCTCCTTGCTGTATATAGTGATCCAGACCAAAATGTCAACACTTCAAATTTTAGTCGAAATATTCATTCACACACACACACACACACACACACACACACACACACACACACGCAGAGAGAAATAGGAAAACGTCACATGATGCAGATCATTTTTGGAGAAATTCAGGATATTTTAGCCTGATCCTAAAAGCAATACAAAAATCATTGAAATATTTTACTTAGGATTATATCTGATATGCATTTTGAAAAGATAACTCTCAATGCATGTGTGATACATGTGGAGATCTACTTTGTGGGAGCAAAATCAGACAGCACAGGAAGCTAATTATAGTCCTGGTAGACTATAATGGTGGTTAAGCAAATGTGGGGGTGGTACTAGAAATGGCAAGAAATGGTCGAGCACAATATTTAAGGCAACACTGGCAGAGGTTGATGATGAATTAGAGGTAAGAATGAGGGAGAGAGAGATGTTTAGGATGACTGCCAAGTTTCTGGCTTGGTAGCTATATAAGATTGTGTATAAATGTATTCCTTGATGGGTTTATTAAGGAGCCCAGGGAAAAAAAGGCTTTACAATCAATGGAATCCACCATTCTTGGAGCAGAGTAGGAATTTTAAATAAGTTTTGTTGTTGCTGTTACATAAACACATTAAATCCCAATTATTCTGCGTGTATGTGTATTTGTGTGTGTGTATATATACATACACACATATACACTGGCTGACTGCAAGGCTGTGTTTCTTTGTGGAAGCTCTAAAAGACAATTCATTTCCTTCCCTTTTCCAGGTTCTAGAAGCCACCTGCATTTATTAGCTCATGTCCTACCTCTTCCATCTTCTAAACCAGTAACATCACATCTCTCTGACCCTTCTACTGTCACAACTCTCTTTGACCTAACCAGAAAGGTTTCTGATTTTTAAGGACTCGGGTGATTAGATTGGGCCCACCCACACAATCCAGGATAATCTCCCCATCTCCAGGTCCATTGCCTTACCCACATCAGCAGTGTCCCTTTTGCCATGTAAGGTATCATATTCAGATTAGGGAGACTGGGATGTGGACATCTTTGGGGAATGATTCATCTCCCTACCACACCTTCAAAGGTATAAACCCTTTTTAATAATATATTTCTTGACCTGACTGCTTCTCAGTTGCTCTATAATTATTTAATACAGGACTTGTAAAATACATGTAAAGTAAATAGCACTGCATGAAATGAGAAAAGCTTTCTTCCAATTTTAACTGCCCAACTCCTAATATTTAGCTGCTATCTGTAGTTCTTCTTCCCAATGTATGAATTAATTTAGATCTTTGTCCTCTGAGAATGGCTCTTTTATACTAACCATGTCAGGCTACTTAAACATGTGAGTTTGACTGCTTTGGATAATTTCCATTTAAAATTTTTCTGAATTAAAAGTATCATCATATAATGTAAGAAACTGCCAAGTGTGAAAAGACTCAGTTGTCAGAGAGTCTGAGATCCAAATCTCCAGCCCCCTAAAAGAGAGCTTTGCATGCAAAAATAATAAATGAATATAAATAAAAAAATATATTTTTAATTGGTATATTTTGAATGGAAGCTGGTAATTTGAGGGAGTTGTCAACATTTGTTTGAGGGACGGTTGATGGAGGCTGCAAAGGGTTTCAGCAAAGGGTCTTTCCTGTGTAATGTTTTATAAGTGGGCTCAAATGAACATTTTTAGAGGTGGAGAGCTGGACCATTAAAAACCACCTCCACCTGTAGGATCTATTTTCAATCCGATTGCAATAATTTTATCAGCATGCCAATGGGTACAGGTGCTGCCAGAGTCAATCTTTTTGCGATATCTTTCTGTCACAGGGCAGATTTCCCTTTAATTGTTCCCCAAATTGGCAAGCACCCCTCCCTCTTTTCCAGGCTTGCTGACATTTTTCAATATGAATTTAACGACAAGAACAACAAAAACTTCCCCTCACCCCCTCATTATTCCATTTGTAAAATGGTGTAACCATTTCTGGTTCTCCAACATAATCTGCTCTGTCTTAAAGCCAGACTCTTAATGAGGCATCTGGCTCAGTCTCCCCCACAGTCAGAGTATGAGGAAAGCTTGCTGACAAGCTAGTATGTGAATTTGATGGTTAATTCTTTCAGGAAAGCTTAGCAGTGCAGTAAGGAGAATCATCTGCCCCATTAATGAGTTAAGCCAAGAAGGTCAGATTTTGTAGCCCCTGAATAATATTAGAGCCATTTCCAGTTGAGTGTGCTCCTCACGGTTGTGTCTTATCTAATTTCCTTGAAAATCCATGATTTACAATGTCAACGGTGGCACTTCTTCCTCTGCCTTCTTCTCAAAATGACTCCCCCTGAAACAGTTGCTTCCAGCAGCCCAAGAAGCAGAGCCTTATGGAATGTTAAGAAATGGGAAGAACTGGAAGAGTGCCAGGCAAACAACTTGCTCCTTTATCGCATGTTTTACCATACCAGACATTGGTTTGATTCTGACTCAGGCTTTGGTATATAAGTTTTAATTAAAGGCAGATGACTACTTTCCTAATATGCCAGCCCAACCAGGCAGAACAAAAATAAAATGATGAAATGTAGTAGGTTATGTGCAAAGTTCTATCTTCAAGTCAAAAAATAAATGTTATATATACAAGTTTCTATGCTCCTCCACTAGCTCCTTCTATCCAGCCTGCTCTTCTTGCAGCTTTCCACGTGCCTGAGCCTAAAATTTAGGAGTCATCCATTTTGCCTCTCTTTATCCTATTTCCCACATCTAATTAATCAGCAAGTAATTTTGCCTATACTTAAAAATAGATCTCAAAGTATATTCATCCTGTTTATTAAAAACAATAAGGAATGGGAATATTTAGCAGCTCAGTCATGCCTTTCTTCTTTAGGTCAGGGCTGACTGTAACAAAAGCTGTTACTCCTTGAGAGCAATGGGAACTTAAAAAAATCCTCTAAGTAATAGAGGTCAGATGATATTTATCCAGTAGAAGCAAGTTAGACACAATTATCTAAATTAGTGGCATACTCAGAGCGGGAACCAGCATAACTTGACCCATAGAAAGGTATGGAACATGGAGTTGCTAGGAGCAAAATATATGGTATTCAACAAGTATTATTTAATTTGTATATTCAAAAGAAAAGAAAAGTGGAAGATTAGAAAGTTGAAGGCAGTCACCTCAATGAAAAGTCATGATCCCTTGCTCAGATTCTTGAAGTTAGCCCATTCTGGGGCCCAGAATTCATTTTCTAAAGAAGAGGACCAGTCTGCAGTAAGGACTATGCAATATCATATACCAATGACTACAGTTCACTCAATCCTCTGCCAAAGGAACCAAATGGAGGGGAAAAAGCTATGTAAGACTTGTTCATGGATGAGTTGGTTGAATACATTGATATAAGTCAGAAGTGAATTGCAGCTACACTATAGTCCTACTCAGATATGGTGTTGAAAGCCAATAGTAAGAGGAAATTTCAACAGACAAAACTTCAAGTAGTGAACTTGGTCATTTACATTCTGTAGGTAGAGAAGTAGCCTGGTATAATAATATATAAAAATGCACTGAAAGTGAAGAGTAGCTTAGTTTGTTAATCTGGGGGCTGGATGGAGAAACAGAAGATTAAAAGATTGTGACAAGGAAATCTCAAAAGAAGCATGTGAATACAGCAACAGAAACATGCAAAATGGTGAAGATCTTCAGATCGCATATTAATGGCCACCAGAATTTATCTACTATGAAAGAGACCCACCAACCAATTTGACATGGTGGCTTAGCCAGTTGATTTTAACCTGCTTAATCAATCAATTTCAATCTGCAATTAACATTCATGCAGTCATTTTGGTGGCAGGAGTGGAGGCTATGCATAGGACTCTACTCACAAAAGCCATTCTAGTTTTTGCCACTGCCAAATGTCCAACCTGCCAGAAAAAAAGACCAGTGCTGAGTCACTGATAGGGTACCATTCCATGAGGAGCCTAACTAGCCCTTAATATTGGCAGGTTTATTATATTGAAGCTTTTTCATTCTGGTGGAATTGTTGAAAGGGTCAGCATTTTATCTTGAGCAAAATTGACATATATTCTTGGTATGTATTCCCAGAGAGTCTTATCTGTTTAGCTTATCAGAGGATTTACAGAGTTTTAATTCACTGAAGAAGGATGTTTTACAACATGCATCTACCTAAGGATACTGCTTTATAGAAATAGATATGTGGCAATGGGCATATGGCTATAGAAGCCACTAATCCTATCACATATAACAGCCCTTGGAAACCAGCAACATGACAGAGAAATCAAATGGCCTTTAGAAGGCACAGCTGAGGTTCAATCTTGCTTATGGTGCTCCGCTACTCACCCACCAGAACAGAGTATATGCTCTAAATGAACGACCACTGGAAGGCGCTATGTCCTCGAATGTGAAACAAAGAGATAAAAGCAGTGGTCCTGCTTACTTTTATTCCCAGTGACCTACTTGGAGAATTTTTTTTTTTTTTTTCACAATTCTAGGCTTCATGTCTATAGAAGTACTGGTTCCTAAGAGGAAATACTTTTACCAGTGGATGCAGAAGGAATCATGTTAAACTTTAAGCTATGTCTGCCACTCTATTGCCTCAGGTTCTTGGTGCCAAGAGACAAATAAGCAAGGAAGAATTAACATCCTTTCAGGCATAATTTACCCCAATTATAAGGAAAAGGTAGGTTTGTTCTTTCAAAGTGAAGGTAAGAAAGAACACCTGGGAATTCAGGTGATTCATTGGGGCATATCTTGCTACTCTTCTGCATATTTTCAACAATAAATAGACAACTGCAGCAAACAAAGCCTGAAAGAAGTAAGGTGAGTAGGGACTCCAACCCTTCAGTGATGAGTGTTTGAGTCACCTTATCAAATAATTCACCTAGACCAAAAGGGGGGCTAACTGAGGGTGGGGAGAATCTAAATTGAGTAATACAAGAGAAAGAAAAGAGAATGCATTGCACCTCTGAGATGAACTTTAGTGGCAAGAGGCTGTGGTTCATGCCACTAAACTTCTTTTTATTTCTGCAGGAAGGAAAACCAACCAGAACCCTGGACAAGCTTTTTCTCTAATGGGAGAGAAGTTTTATATGAAGCAATGGATCTTAGGAGCATAATAAATGGACTTTACAGACTGCTATCAGGTGCCACCAAGATCCCCTGAGATGCTCCTTCCCCTGCTGCCAGGGGTATTGCCAGCCAAGGGCTCAAAGATTAAAAATTGACCTCAGAAAAAGCTGTCAACGTCATGCAAGTTTATATCTCCTCTCTGGGAGCAGTTTCATCAATGATTTTTAGTTGATGTGAGATATAAAGGTCCAATCCCCATACTTCAATTTGGGACAATCTTGAAGGCCATCAGAGCTCCAGAGCTGCCTGTGTAACAGGTTGAGGCTCTGTTGTGCCTGCATTACACTTCAACGCCTCCTTGGCCTCACTCTGCTTTCCTCAGGACCTCACTGATGTTCTCCCTGGGAGTACTCCCCACTGAATTATTTGCAAGTGAAACTATGTGTTGAGGTCTGTTTTCCAGGGCAGCTACCCTAAGACAAATACTGACAATCATTAGCTGCTACACACTCAGAAAAGAGAGGTGATGAAAGCACAGTGTCTGTACTTATAAGACCATACCTTGGGCAGTGTTTTAGGTCCATGTTTTAAGAGTGTCTGACAAACTCAAATGCACAAGCTGGTGAAATAGCTATAAAAAGCATCAAATGAGGAAGCATCAGTCAGGAGCTTGGATTTTTAAATGAAGTACATTAGATTTAGGTTGATTGTGATAGCTCTCTTTAGATCATTGAAAAACTAACATATGAGAGGAAGATTGGGAATTCATCTTACATTACCCATAATATAGATCTAAGATCAATAAGTAAAAATTACAGAGCAGATTTCAATTCAGAATGAAAAGAAACACAATGCCTGATAATTAAAAATTTCAACAATTGAATGAGTTGCTTTGAAAGAGAATGAGTTCCCTGTTATTGAAGCTATTTGTCTTAGTCTATTCAGGCTGCTATAACAAAAATATCAGAAACTGGGTAGCTTATCAATAATAGAAATTTATTCATTACAGTTTTGGAGGCTAGGAAGTCCAAGAGCAAGGTGCTAGCAGATTTGGTGTCTGGTAAAGGCCTGCTTTCTGGTTCATCAGTTATGTCTTCCAGCTGTGCCCTCACATGTGGAAGGGGAAGGGCAGCTCTCTGGGATCTTTTAGGATGGCACTAATCCCATTCATGAGGGTTCTGCCCTCATGACCTAAGCCTTACTGTCGCCTTGGGAATTGGAATTTCAATATAGGAATTTGAGGATGAGGGAACACAAACATTGATACCATAGCAGTATATAAGGAGAAGCTGCATAATCATTTTTGTGGACATTGTTAGTATAGTTTTGGGGTCATAAATTAAATGAATTATGAGGTGTGTGTTAGTTTTCTATTACTCTATAGCAAACTATCACAAAAGTAGCAGCTTAAAACAATACATATTTATCTCACTGTTTCCATGGGTCAGGAGTCTGGATGTGGGCTATCTGCAGCTCACCAGTTTGAATCAAGGAGTCAGCTAGGTCTGGGGTGTCCTCTTAATGCCTGGGGCCCTCTTCCATGCTCACTCTGGTTGGTTGCAAGGTGCACAGTTTCTTGGAACTCTTGAATTGAAGTCCTTGTTGTTTTGCTGTTTGGACAGGGGACTCTCTAAGATACTAGAGGCTACTCCTTGTTTCTTGCCACATACCACCATCCTCTGCCCCCCGCTTTGGCCCTCTGTATTCTTACACTCAAATCTTTCTCCAGGAAGGGACCATGACCTTTTAAGGGCTAACTTTATTAGGTCAGTCCAAATCAGATAAGTCAACTGATTTGTAATGTCATCGTAGGAGTGATATTCCATCATATTCACAGATTCTACCCATATTTAATGGAAGACAATTATACAAGGCATGTATACTAGAAGTCAGGAATCTTGGGTCCAGGCCCGTCTCAGAATTCTGCCTGCCATATTGTGCTTTCCACATATACATCTCCAGAATTCAGGTCACCACAATCATTCATGGATGATCACTAAATTAAAGATCTCATGGGATGACAAACTGTACTTCCTGGGCTGACTTTTAACATGACATCAGCCTCGGTCCTGAGATAATAAGACCATCTCCAGGTTAGTGATGCCTCAGAGGTTCCTGGTGAGGTTGGCGTGGGATATGAGTGTTTAGAGCAATGCCCGTAGCACTCCAGGCTTCCCCAGGTATCTCCGAAACACTGTGGATCTAGAGATGATTTGGAATCCCCAGAATTTCTGAGGACCCAAAAGAATAGTTGCTGAACACCCAGAACAGTGTGTGGTACTAGAAGATTTCTGGAAATAGACTACAATTTTTCAGGGTTAAGCCATGAAGAGGTTCGATTTCCCTCCTTCTGTTCTTTGTCTCAATTTTCAGCTTTTCATCTGGAGACTAAAGGGTTAGGATTTTGTGCAGAATTATGACAGTAGCTCAACCGAGACCCCTCCGTAAAGAGAGAAAGGATGGAATTACTGGATAGAAATTTAGATATGGAAAGCCATACACACTAAGGATCTGGCTACAAATGCCTCCGGGCCCTGAAGGAGGTGATACAGAGACGATTTTCTGTCACCCACAATAAGCCAGCCTAATCTGCTTTCATTGTATGTGTCTATTGCTTCCTGTGACTGTGCCCCTCCAAATCAGACTGAAAATAACCCATTTGGCTTCACCAAGGTGTGAAACTAGGAGAAATCCTGGCTCTCCTGACATTTTGGCTCCCAGTTCCTATATCACTGGCCCTGAGAGAGCTGAGCCAAGCAAACAGATCTTTATCTTTGTTCAGCGAGCTGCTTATCTCATCCTTGAGCAGGAACCAAGCAACCTTTTTAAATAAGGGTGTAATGTTGGACAGACCCTAAACAATAAGTCTTGCTTTGTACAGAAATTCTAAAGAAATGGACACTCTATATAAAATTATACAACCACATGAACACTGTTCTAAACTAATATTCAAGCAGAATCAAAGCATGCTATTTTTTTGGATAAGCAGTTAACATATTTGAGCTAAGGCTTTTGATTTTACCTCTAAACTTATACCCACATAATTTGAAGTAGACTCCACCCTCACTTATTTTTTATTCTGTGGGCATGTATGTTTGTGTGTATTAGTCTGCATATATGTCATTGTTCTGATAAAAAAATAAATCCTTATAGAAAATGCAGGAAATAAATAGAAGCTATTTATATTTTCTCCTATCAGAAATTACCACTATAAATGCTTTGAATTATATCCATTGCATTTTTGATATATTTTATTAGTATCATGCACGCTGTTTGGTAGACTAATTTTTTATATAAAATATATCATGCATGAGATTGAGAGACAGCAGGGACCATAAATTCTCAAAACATTGAGCATCTGCTCTTGTTATTACAGTTAGGCTTTAACTTTAAGCCTCTTTGTATAACCCCATCTCCAGTGAATTTCACCATATCTGATAGGCGTCAAGGGACTATGTCAGTCCCTCTAATTTAGGATTAGACTAATAGACTTCGTTGTTTCCTAGCTCCTAACTCCTATACTCATGTACTTTTAAAAGACAAAATTTAGAGAAACAAGAATTCCAAGAGCAAAGAAATTTAAAGGATGCTTTCTTTGTAAATGTCAGAATTATTGTCTTTTTCTTTCTCCATAATAAAAACTCCACCCTCTAGCACAATGGCCAATGACCTAGTAATGTCCTTCTCCCATGTGAAAACTTCTTTTTATAAGGATAGAAAATAATCTTTGCAACCCCTTCCTCATGCACAGGAATCAGTACATGCCATTTTTAATTAGCATTTTTTTCAACCAATTACATCTTTGAAGACTTTTTTTTTCATGGCTGTAGAGTGTCCCATACACTCCACATAGTTGGATGTACCATATTTCCACTATATTGGAGTATTAATTGTTTCCATTTCTTCCTTATATGTAAGACCATATTAAATGTCTATTACATTACTCTCTAAAAATGTTTTTCCCAACATTTCGAAAGTCTATTTAACAAAAAGAAAAAGAGAAAGAGAAATGAATCAATGCATACTACTTCAAAAAACATTCACAAAGGAAGGCACCAAGAGAATACGAAACGAACAAAGGAACTAAAAATCAATTAGAAAATAAATAACAAAATGGCAGTAGTAACTTCTTGCCTATCATTAATTACTTTAAGTGTAAATGAATTAAATTCTTCAATCAAAAGGCACAGAGTGGCTGCATAGATAAATAAAAACAAGATCCAACCATATGCTGCCTACCTGAGACACAATTTAGCCTTAAGGACATATATAGGCTGATGGTGAAGGACTGATGAAAGATATTACATGAAAATACTAATCAAGCAAGAGCAGAAATAGCTATAGTTATTTCAGACAAAATAGACTTTCAATCAAGATGTATCACAAAAGCCAGAAAGGTCACTATATATTGATAAAGGGGTTAGTTGATTAAAAGAATATATGTCCAACATTGGAACACCTAAATATAGAAAGCAAATAATAATAAAATTCAGAAAAAATAGATGGTAATATAATAATAGTAGGGGAATTTAATACCCCACTTTCAACAATGGATAGATCATGCAGATAGAAATAAATAATGAAAGAGCAGATTTGAATAATACTATAGAACAAATGGAACTAACATATATATACAGAAATTCCCTCCAACGAAGCAAAATATAGTGCTTTTCTTTTTCTCAAGTGTACACAAAACAGCCTCCAGGATAAGTCACATGCTAGGCCACAAACAAGTCTCCATAAATTTAAGATGACTGAAATAATCTCAAGTAGATTTTCAGACCACAATGGTATAAAACTAGAAATTAATAACAGGATAGATTTTGGAAAATTTACAAATACATGCAAACTGAACAGATCTTGAGAAACCAATTGATCAAAGAATAAATATGAATGAAAATCAAAAAGTATCTTGAGGCAAATGAAAATAGAAATACAACATACAACAACATACAATATGCAAAAAGAAGTAGTTCTAAGAGGGAAGTTTATAATGATAAATGCCTACATTAAGAGAAAAAAAATCTCAAATAAACAACTTAACTTCACACTCCAAGGAACTAGAAAAAGAAGAACAAAGTAAGCCCAATGTTAGCAGAAGGAAGGAAGTAGTAGAAAACAGGGCAGTTTGACTACATCAAACTACAAAGCTTCTTCACAGCAAACAAACAAAATTAAGATAAAACATGGAATGGTAGAAAATATTTGTAAACCATATATCTGATAAGGGGTAAATATCCAAGATATGTAAGAAACTCACACAACTCAGCAAAAAACAAATAATCTGATTAGAAAATGAGCAAAGGACCTGCAAATATTTTTTTTTTCAAAAAGGCATACAAATGTCCAACAGATATGTGAAAAGGTGCTCAACATTACTAATCATCAGGGAAGAGCAAATCAAAACCACCATAGGCTATCACCTCACACTGGTTAGGAGATCTATTACCAAAAAGACAAGAGATGACAAGTGCTGGCAAGGATGTGAGGAATCCTTTATCCACTTTTGGTCAAAATGTAAATTGGTATAGTCATTATGAAAAACAATGTGAAGGTTTCCTCAAAAAATCAAAAATTAAAAAAAAGATTATACTATCCAGCAATCACACATTTGGGTTTATATCCAAAGAAAATGAAATCAGTATCACACACATACATGCAAAAAAATCTGAGCTATGCATGATGGCTCATTCCTGTAATCCCAGCACTTTGGGAGGCTGAGGCAGGAAGATTGCTTGAGGCCAGGAGTTTGAGACCAGCCAGGCAACGTAGCCAGACACCATCTTTACAAAAAACAAACAAAACAAAAAATTAGCTGGATGTCGTGGTACGCACCTATAGTACCAGCTACTCAGAAGGCTGAGGTGGGAGAATTGCTTGAGCCCAGAAGATCAAGGCTGCAGTGAACCAGGATCACACCTGGGTAATGGAACAATACTCCATCTCTTTTAAAAATAAAATTAAATTAAAATTAAATTAAATGTTTAAAAATAAAAATAAAATCTCTACACTCCATGTTCATTGCAGCATTATGCACAATATCTAAAATATGGAAACAACCTAATTGTTCAGTGAAAGATGAGTGGATAAAGAAAATATAGAATATATACAGTTGATTCCTGAACAATGCAGGGTTTGGGACACCAACCTCCTGTGTAGTCCAAAAATCCATGTATAACTTCTGGCTGGCTAAAAACTTAAAGACTAAAAGACTACTGTTGACTTACTGATAACATAGGCAGTCAATTAAAACATATTTTATATGTTTTATATATATATATATATATAAAATGTACTGGATTTTTACAATAAAGTAAGCTAGAGCAAAGAAAATATTATTAAGATAACCACAAGGAAGAAAAAATATATTTGCTATTCACCCAGTGAAAGTGGATCATCATAAAATTCTTCAATGTCAATGTCTTCAAGCGGGGTGGGCTGAGGAGGATGAGGAAGAGAGGGGTTGGTCTTGCTGTTTCACGGATGGCAGAGCCAGAAGAAAATCCACATATAACTGTACCCATGCTGTTCAAACCTATATTGGATAGAAAATCCACATCTAAGTACCCATGCTGTTCAAACCTGTACTGATCAAGGTCCTTGATGTGTGTGTGTGTGTGTGTGTGTGTGTGTGTGTGTTCATATACACACAGACAACGATATCTTATTCAGCTAAAGAAAAGAAGAAAAATCTGCCATTTAGAACAACATAAATGAACATGGAAGACATATGCTTAGTGAAATACATCAGACACAGAAAAACAAATCCTGTATGATCTCACTTATGTGTGGGATCTAAAAAGGTCAAACGCACACAAGAAAGTAGAATGGAGTTTGCCAGGGGCTAGAGTGTAAGGTAAATGGGGAGATGTTGGGCAGAGCGTACAAAGTTTTAGTTTTGAGTTCTGAAGATCTAATGTACAGTATGGTGACTATAGTTTATAATAATATACTATCTACTTGAAATTTGATAGGAAAGCATATATTAAATGTCCTCAACATACACACACACATGCACACTGGTGACTGTGGATGGTGATGGATGTGTAACTTCATTTTGTTATGGTAATCATTATACAATGTGCACATACATCAAATCATATTGTACACTTTGAAAATACACATTTTTATTTGTTATTTAAATATTTTTAAAAGTTAAAAAAGACGTATTCTAAATTTTAAAGAGTAAATACAAAATGGATTGAATGAACTCAAAGAATAAAGTTTTCTAGCATCAGGGATAGCAAAAGGGCAGCACAGTGACAGAAAGGTTTGGGAGGAATCTAGAAAGTAGAGACAGCAGAACTTTGGAGAAGAAAGTGCTGGCTTGTAGACTTCCCAAGGGAGCCTTTCTCTGGACACTTCTCCTCATCACTGCAAGACAGGTTGCTGTTTGGCCCTCCTTTCATCTCACTCCTAAGGCTTAATTTATCTGGGAAAACCATCAAACTATATTCAAGTTATGGTGTAAATGTTATGCTAGCAAATAACTTTGGAACTAGATTTGACTGTGTCTTAAATAGGTGGTAAATCATACCTCCACTATGCTGCTGGTGTCAAAGCAGTTACTGGGATAGGAGAACAGAGGAAGAGATAGTTTTGTAAGTAGATATAGCATATATATATATACACACACATACATACAAATATAGACACATGTATATACATACACACAAGTGTTCATTACTACTATTAAGCCTCAATATAACAGTCTCCACAGACATGGAATTTCCTTAAAATAAGCATTCCTTGCAATCTCATTCCTTCCTCTAATTTCTCAATCTTACACCCACAGTGTTATATGCTTCTATCTAAAAATACAGCAGCACATGTTTATGTAAAAATACCATGTCATGAAGATAACAAGAGAGGGCTCCCTTGAAAAGCGGGGTAGTAAGAAGAGAACTGAGCTGAAAATTGGGAGCTTTGGTTTCTAATTTTGCTTCTGCCTGTGATTAACTCTGAAGATGTAACCAAGTCAAACAATGTCTCTAAAGTCCCAATTTCTTCATTTGTAAATAAGTGGTTTGGACAACATGCTATCTAAACTCCTTTTAGTGCTATTGTTGTATGTGTCTGATGACAGCTGATAGTGAAGGCTCTTTACAACAGTATGGTCCATAAATTCTTGCCTTATGTTTCCTATTTTATGAAGTTCTTTCTTAAAATTTTTGAATCAAAACATCACTTATTGGGGTTATCCACAAGTAGTCTTGGAGGGGAAATGCATTAAAACAAGCTAACATATCCATTTCTACTTCCTGAGATAACAACTTAAATTTTAAGTTGAAAGAATCTTTTTCTATTTAAATGAAAGCAAATATATCTCATGAAGATGCCTTCAACTATGAAAGGACCGAGGAACACTATTGCGACAAAAAAAAACTTGCCTCAGAGAAAAATACTTTTTTTAGTTATAAATTTATTAAAACCCAGTGGTTCTTAACCAGAAACAATTCTACCCTCAGGGGACACTTGACAATGTCTGGAGATGTTTTCGTTGCCCACTAAATCTATTGACATTTAGTGGGTAGAGGCCGGGGATGCTGCTAAGCATCCCACAACGCACAGGACAGCCCCCTACAACAAAGAATTTCTCTGCCCAAAATTCTAATAGTGCTGAGGTTGAGACACCCAGAGATAACCCTCTCAAGTTCACTCACCACATTATATCAAGCTTGAAATACCCAAGTTGACACTGAGACCAGGAGCCTCACCAGAAAATGTTCATTTTAGATTTGCCTAGAGAGAAACCATCCTCTCAGATAAAATTCTGTAAAAGAGTTTGGCAAAAACCTGATTACTTTTGTGCATGCAAGCATTTATTCTTCTATTCTGAGTTAAAAATCCTGCAAACTCAGCTATTTTGTGTTTCATATATTGCTATTTCATATCTTGATTTCTAAAGATTCTTTTTCAATCTGTAGCAAAAAATGTACCTAATATTAGTTATGGTTATATTGAGAAATATGAAAATCCAAAAAGCTAGTCAGATTCTTAGGCATTCCTGCACACTATCATATCAGAAGGTATTAGTGGAGAGTCATACTATGGTTTCAAGTTCCCCCTCTTCAAACTAGTTGTTTTCTCTGTAACTGATAGATTTTTGTGATGGGCTTCAGCCTTCTATTTATCTCAAATAATCACTAGTAACTGACATTTATGATGAAGAAATTGATTATTCAACAAAGAAGGAGTTTGTACACTTTTCTGAAATGAATACTGAAGACTATATTGACCAAAGATCAAATTTCTAATATTACTCATTCCTACTTTCACATCTAGTATCCTCTGTTTACACTGTGGGGATTTACATGCAAAGATGGCCACTATTAATTTATTGCTTTTTTATACAGGCATGCAACTCTCCTTTCAAGTGGAGTTTATTCCTTCCTTCACCCTCTTGCATATGAGCTGGCCTAGGACTACTTTGACCGTTAAATTCAGTGGAAATTCTATTGTGCCAGTTTGGGGCCTAGACTTTAACAAAACTAGCAGTTTCTGCTTTCTTCCTCTTGGAACCCAGCCCCTGTGCTGTGAGGAAGCCCAAGCAACCTCGTGGAAAAGTCCATAGGAAGAAGAATCAAGGCCTGTAGACAGCAGCGCCAACTGAGCTACCAGCTGGCAGCCATCAACAATTTGTTTGCCACTGAGTAAGTGAGCTTAGACATGGATCTGTCAGCCTTATTTGCACCACTCCAGGTGACACCATATAGAATAGAGACAAACTGACCACACCTAATCCTGCCCAATTTACAATTTCCATTGTTTGAAAAACTGAAATGGCCAAATTACAATCTCTAGAGTGAATAATTGTTTGTATTTTAAATCATTAAGTTTTGCAGTAAGTTTTATGCAGCAATAGACTACCAAAGCACACATCAAAGTCTGAATTAAAATGTGACTCCTATTAACAGCTTGTTAACATCATATGAAGAATACTCAATTTCTATTAATTGCGAATGTCTCATGAGTTATCTTTCTTATAAATTAGATTCCTTGGGAGCTTTGAGATGTTCAGATATGCAAATGATGCCAACTGAATTATCTGTTGATAAGTACATAGATTTCACTGCAAAGTTTATAGAGTTTTCATCATGTTTTTATGACCACAATGTTCTACACCCAGCTTTCTGTGGTGGTATAGGCGAAATGAGAACATAGCACTGTGTGAATTTGGAATCCCTGAACTTTTTTTTTTTTTTTTTTTGAGACAGAGTTTCACTCTTGTTGCCAAGGCTGGAGTGCAATGGCATGGTCTCAGCTCACTGCAACCACTGCCTCCCAGATTCAAGCGATTCTTCTGCCTCAGCCTCCCGAGTAGCTGGGACTACAGGCATGCGCCCCCACACCTGGCTATTTTTTTTGTATTTTTTAGTTGAGATGGGGTTTTACCATGTTGGCCAGGGTGGTCTTGAATGCCTGACCTCAGGTGATCCACCCACCTCGGTCTCCCAGTTTGCTGGGATTATAGGTGTAAGCCACCTTGCCTAGCGTTTTGCTGTTTTATTTGTTTGTTTGTATGGGTTTTTGTTTGTTTGTTTGTTTTTTAGCAACAGAGTCTTGCTCTGTCACCCAGGCTGAGGTACAGTGGTGAGATCATCGCTCACTGAAGTCTATACCTCCCGAGCTCAAGGGATCCTCTTGTCTCAGCCTCCCAAAGTGCTGGGATTACAGGCATGAGCCAGCACCCAGCTTAGATTCCTTGATCTTTTATGTGGCAGTTACTACCACAATATTGATCCCCTCCACTCAGCAAAGTAATGACTCTGAACCTATATCCTGTAAAGAAGCACAGTCAGAAAAAAGTTGGTGTGGGGCTGTAATGCAAAACCACTTGAGTTTGTCTTTGTAGGTAGTCATCATTGCTACTTTCTGCTGACTTTTTATTTTGCCTTCACCACCCCTGAATCAGCAAGCATTTAATCAGATGTTTTCACATATCAATCTATACTTCATATTTTAAGTACAACTTAAAGAGTCTATTTTAGGGTGAAAGTACTAAATTTGAAATGTCTCTTCTTGTTTTATAAGAACACCCAGAACATTAATAACATTTGTAAATTCTAGTTGGTTGTTCTGATGTTCTTTAAACTATGATTCAAGCTGATAAAGGATTATTTTATCAGAAACTACAATCAATTCCAACGATTACATTTTTGGCTAATTTTTATCAAATGCAATACCAAGTCTAGATGCCAGAGGTCATGGACTATAATAACATCTACCTAAACTTATACACTTTAGAAAATATAAAATATTGAATGAAAATATTTGGCGTAGACAATATACATCTATAAATAGCATTTATTTTTTGAATCACTGTATATTGAATATGGAAGGCATAGGTAAAACTTAAAAATAGGTAGCGTATCAGGCAAATGCATCCTTTTCACTAACTGCAGTAACTGGAGCCACAAAAGTATAGAGCAGCAAGCATTTCTGTTGATTTCTCTGTGGCCTCTAAATAACCTGGTAGATGCTTGAAGAGATAAAAACAGAAAGTTTCAATTTTACCCAGCTAAAGAAAGGCATTCACGATGAATGTAACTAGACTTTTGTTTCAGAGACAAGAACTTGATGATTCATAAAGCTTTGTGAAGTGTGGTTACTGCAAGACTTGGAGTAGTTTGAAAGAAACTTGTGACTTCTAAAAGCAGCTGAGAGAAAGGTCAGTAGAATGGACCATTGGAGTAAGTTGTCCAAAGAAACTGAAAATTTCTACTGAATCAGTCAACTAGAATGGGGAATTGAAATGAAACAGGTTATTTGAAGGCACCACATTCCAAATGACCCAATCTCATTCTGCTTATATTTGGTTAACTATGCCTTTCATTGATTAGTTATGTGTCTACCACCACTATGATATGTTTAACTCATAAATTGGGTAGCCTCTCAGCATCATCTTTGGAAATAATTATATGTTATAAATAAGTGTAATAAACATTATTTTTTATATTGTAGTAAGCACATTTAAAATGAGATCTACTTTTAACAATTTTTTAAGTCTAAAATATTATCAAGTATAGGCTAATTGCTTTTGTTTTTATTCAGTTTTCTCACATCATTGTAACCAGAAGATAATAAAAGTTCTATGAAATCAAAAAAGCACCTCTTCTATCATTAAATTTATTATGATTATGTAACCATCTGGGATGAGGCTGTGAACACAACTGGTACTCATCAGATGTGTGAGGACTGCGATGTCAATTAGAAAAGTGTTTAGTGCTTCCTTTGGCAAATGAACAAATACTATTGGAGGTAACAGAGTGTAAAGTCTAGGAGCATGAGTTCTGACCTGGGTGTAAGCCCCAGCTCTGTCATTTTAGAAGCTACTGCCCTGGTACAACTTCACTTCCCTGAGCTATTGTATCCTTATCTACAAAACAGATGTAAATGTGGTAAATTTGTAGGTTTGCTTTAATAATTCAATGAGAAGATGCAAGTGTGAAGAATGTTAACATATAAATATTTAGAGCCCCTTCCCTTCCCTTACCCACCAGGGATAAATGTATAAGTAAAAACAGGTTAGGTTTTCTGTGATAACAAACAACCTCCACCATCTTCAGCTAAGCTGTGTGCAGACAACTCTCTGAGGAGCTGTCCTCCACTGTTGGCTCAGCATTTTCTGCTCTCTGGATCTTATGGCACCTCTATATCAACACATGCTTTCACAACATGCTAGCAGGAAAACAGAATGCTAGAGAGTCAAGCACCCATGGTTGATATTTCCACCCAAAATTAATGCATGTTTCTTTTGTTTTCACTATAGTGGTCACGGCAGTCACATGGCCACACCTAAGTTCAGGAGCTGGGCAGTAATATTGTACGTACTTGGAAATAGAGGAGAAACATATATTAGTAAACATTAGTAATGCCCACCACAGTGAATTTTTGACTTTGTCATAGCCTCTGTGTTTATTCAAGATAACACATGAAGATAAAAACTAGGGAGTGAGTTGAAATTAAATTGGAAATAACAGACAAAAGGGATGACATGGCTGAAGTTATAAGAGAGTTCTGAGGACTTTCATGTAGAGAGAGAAAAACTGCAGAGACAATTCGGGGGCAGGTGCTCCAGTGGAAAGACATTAGAAGGAGAGTGAGGAGCATGATTCTAAGAATTTTTACTGTGTTTTATGACCATGACTTCTGTTTTGAATTTTTTTGAGGAAATAATTTATTTAAATTATGTTCTAATTGTTTTGAACACTGGATTGATGTTTCTATGAATATATTGTCAAGCTGAGCCTGTGGTTTGTATGTTTATACATATAATGTTTTAGCATGATATCTATCACAAATAAATTGTTCAATAAATGATATCAGTTGGGAATTCTCTTTGATTCAAGAAATTTTAAAATTGGCTTAAAGGAAAAGTTTATTTTTCTTGTATAAGTAGACATCTATTTTTAAGTAACTACTATTGGTTAAACATCTCACTGATGTTGAAATATACCTATTTCTCCTAATCTTTGCCTGCGCTGGAGAAAAATATAAAAATCTGTAACTATGACTATTATGATGAACAATTAAATAACTTTTTATTGATGTATAAGAGATATACATAGCTTCAGGGTATATGTGATAATCTAATACATTCATATAATTCATAAAGATCAAATAAGTATACTGGGAATATCCATTACCTTAAATATTTGTCTTTTCTCTATGCTGGAACCATTCAAGTTCTTCTCTAGCAAATTTGAAATGTACAATAAATTATTTTAAACTATAATCCCCCTACTGTTCTAATACCAGGTCTTATTTCTCTATCAGTTGTATACTTGTATCCAATTATCAAATTCTCTTCATCACCCCCATTCCCTGCCTTTCCAAGCCTCTGGCAACCACTAAGCTACACTCTGTCTTCATGAGGTCCACCTTTTTAGCTCCCACATATGACTAAAAATCTGTAATATTTTTCTTTTTTTTTTTTCTTTTTGAGACAGAGTCTCCCTCTGTCACTCAGGGTGGAGTGCAGTGGTGCTATCTCAGCTCACTGCAGGCTCCACCTCACAAACTTAAATAATCCTCCCTCTTCTCAGCCTCCTGAGTAGCTGGGACCACAGGTGCACGCCATCGCACCTGGCTAATTTTTGTATATTTTTGTAGAGATGCAGTTTTGCCATGTTGCTGAGGCAGGTCTGTAACTTCTGGGCAAAAGCAATTCACCTACCTTGGCCTAACGAAATGCTGGGATTACAGGCTACTTGGTTTGTTTCATTTAACATAATGACTCATGTTCCATCAGCGTTGCTGCAAATAACAGGATTTCACTATTTTTTACGGCTGAATAATATTCCATTGTGTATATATATCACATTTTCTTTTTTTTTGGAAGTTGTGAAGATATTCACAATTTATTTTTTTAATTTTTTATTTTTATTATACTTTTAAGTTCTAGGGTACATGTGCACAACGTGCAGGTTTGTTACATATGTATACATGTGCCACGTTGGTGTGCTGCACCCATTAACTTGTCATTTACATTAGGTATATCTCCTAATGCTATCCCTCCCCCCTCCCCCAACCCCGGGATAGGCCCCAGTGTGTGATGTTCCCCACCCTGTGTCCAAGTGTTCTCATTGTTCCGTTTCCACCTATGAGGGAGAACATGCAGTGTTTAGTTTTCTGTCCTTGCAATAGTTTGCTGAGAATGATGGTTTCCAGCTTCATCCATGTCCCTACAAAGGACATGAACTCATTCTTTTTTATGGCTGCATAGTATTCCATGGTGTATATGTGCCACATTTTCTTAATCCAGTCTATCATTGATGGACATTTGGGTTGTTTCCAAGTCTTTACTATTGTGAATAGTGCCGCAATAAACATACGTGTACATGTGTCTTTATAGCAGCATGATTTATAATACTTTGGGTATATACCCAGTAATGGGATGGCTGGGTCAAATGGTATTTCTAGTTCTAGATCCTTGAGGAATTGCCACACTGTCTTCCACAGTAGACGAACTAGTTTACAGTCCCACCAACAGTGTAAAAGTGTTCCTATTTCTCCACATCCTCTCCAGCACCTGTTGTTTCCTGACTTTTTAATGATCGCCATTCTAACTGATGTGAGGTGGTATCTCATTGTGGTTTTGATTTGCATTTCTCTGATGGCCAGTGATGATGAGCATTTTTTCATGATATATCACATTTTCTTTATCCATTCGTCTGTTGATGTGCACTTACGGTGATTCCACATTTTGGTCATTGAGAATAATGCTGCAATAAACATGGGAGTTGTGATGGTTAATGCTGAGTGTCAGTTTGATTGAATTGATGGATACAAAGTATTGATCCTGGGTGTGTCTGTGAGGGTGTTGCCAAAGGAGAGTTAACATTTGAGTCAGTGGGCTGGGAAAGGCAGATCCACCCTTAATCTAGGTAGGCACAATCTAATCAGCTGCCAGCATGGCAGCAATATAAGCAGGCAGAAAAATGTGAAAAGAGAGACTGGCCCAGCCTCCCAGCCTACATCTTTCCCCCATGCTAGATGCTTTGTGCCCTCGAGTATCAGACTCCAGGTTCTTCCATTTAGAAACTCAGACTGGGCTTTCTTGCTCCTCAGCATGAAGACAGACTACTGTGGGACTTTGTGATCATGTGAATTAATACTTAATAAACTCTCCTTTATATATACACATATTCTATTAATTCTGTCCCTCTAGTAAACCCTAATACAGATTTTGGTACCAGGAGTAGTTCTGGAGGAACAGAATATTAAGGATGAAGTTCTTTTGTTGGTTTTGGGGTTTCTGGAGTTGGCTGCTTAATATTATTAGACCCGAAAATGCTAAGGACTCTAATTCTAATAGTATGGAGAATATTGATGATCTTTGGCATGAACTATTTAAAGAGTTATACAAAATAAATGCATTTGACACTCCTGATTCACCTCTCATGAGAGACAAGGAGTTTAGTGA
The DNA here is from genome assembly GCF_000001405.40 of Homo sapiens. Taxonomy (NCBI): domain Eukaryota; kingdom Metazoa; phylum Chordata; class Mammalia; order Primates; family Hominidae; genus Homo; species Homo sapiens. Next base: position 110,316,958 of record NC_000005.10, on the reverse strand, counting down.
CTCTATATATGATACCGTTGACCATATGTGGAGAACCAAGGAATATAATGAAGCTGGTTGGTTGCTCCTAAGTTCAGTGGACAAAGTGATGAAAGAAAATGATGAACTCAGGGATTCTGTCTCCTGGCTTCAGAAGCGGATACTGAACCTCAAATCTGCCAAGATTGCCATGAGTCACCATCTTATCTCCTGTAGAGAAAGAGCTAAAATTGTGGAAATTCAGACACAAGCTCTTATCATGAGAGTGGTTGACCTGCAATGAAAGGTTCAGTCACAGCCTTACCAGGTGTCTACTGTTAAAGTGAGGGCATTGATTGGAAAAGAATGGGACCCTGCAACTTGGAATGGGGATGTATTCAAGGACCCTGATGAGGCTGGGGACCCCGAGCTTATAAACTCTGATGAAACTTTTTCGCCAGAATAAACAGCTTCCCCATCCCCAGTAGTGGCAACATTCCCTCCCCAACCCATGCTGCCATCAGCCTTTCCACCTTTGTCTGAGGAGATAAACCTTGCACTGCCTGAAGCCGAACAGTGACGGCCTCCCCTTAGGCAGTTGCCAGGCAAGATAATGTTGATTCTCCTCAGGAGCCACCCCCAGCACCCCTGTTTACTTCTAGACCTATAACTACAGTGAAGTCCTGGTGGGCCCCTAGAGGGGAGGTTGAGAATGTGACCCATGAGAAGGTGAGCTACACTCAAAAAGAACTGCTTGAGTTGTCTAATTTATATAAACAGAAATCTGAATAACAAGCATCAGAATGGATATTAAGGGTGTGGGATAATGATGGAAGGAACATAGGGATGAATTAGGCTGAATTTATTGATTTGGGACCACTAAGTAGGGATTCTGCATTTAATGTTGCAGCTCAGAGAGGTAAAAAAAAAAAAAAAAGGTTCTAATAGTTTATTTGCTTGGTTAGCTGAAATATGGATTCAAAGATGGATTGAAAGATGGATATTAGAAGAAGGTAGTCATTAATACCAGCTATGACCACAGGGTCAACTGCAGAAACAAGGACTGTAATTGTCATATTTCCTCCTTTTGTTAAAAACATGTTTGTGCATTCATATGCTTGTACTAAGAAAATATCTTCATTTCATTTCCTTTCTCCTTTATCATGTGACATAAGATTTATTGGCTTCACATCAGCGTTTAAGTATTGTTAACTTTATTTAATGGTATTTGGGTTGGGGATTGGTGCATTTCTGCTTGTACGAAGGATAGTTGTATTATGTTAGACGCAGTTATGAGCTTATTGTCTTTATTCGAAGATTATGTATAATCTCAGAAGATGTGTAAGGGTTCACGTTGACAACGGATAGACTTGTGATGGTTAATAGTGAGAGTCAACTTGATTGGATTGATGGATACAAAGTATTGATCCTGGGTGCGTCTGTGAGGGTACTGTCAAACATTTAACATTTGAGTCAGTGGGCTGGGAAAGGCAGACCCACCCTTAATCTGGATGGGCACCATCTAATCAGCTGCCAGCATGGCTAGAATATAAGCAAGCAGAAAAATGTGAAAAGAGAGACTGCCCTAGCCTCCCAACCTACATCTTTCTCCCATACTGGATGCTTCCTGCCCTCAAACACTGGACTCCAAGTTCTTCAGTTTTGAAACTTGGACTGGCTCTCCTTGCTCCTCAGCCTGCAGACAGCCTATTATGGAACCTTGTGATCATGTGAGTTAATACTTAATAAACTCATATATATATATATATATATATATATATATAAAATATTCCATTAGTTATATGGAATATATATTATATATATTCCATTAGTTATATATAATATATATTCCATTACTTCTGTTCCTCTAGAGAACACTGACTAATACAGGAGTGCAAATGTCTTTTGATATATTCTTTTTGGGGGGTATATACCCAACAGTAAGATTTATGGATCATATGGTAATTCTATTTGTAGTTTTTTGAGGTAGCTGTATATTGTTCTCCATAGTAGTTGTACTAATTAGTAATTTTACTAATTTACATTTCCACAATAGTGTATGAGGGTTCCCCTTTCTCTGAATCCTTGCCAGCATCTGTTATTGCCCGTCTTTTTGATAAAAGCCACTTTGTGGTCAGATAATATCACATTGTGATTTTGATTTGCATTTCTCTGATGATTAGTGATGTTGAGCATTTTAAAATATTAATGTTGGCCATTGGATGTCTTTTTGTGAAAAAATACCTATTCAGTTCTTTTGTTCATTTTTAAATTGGATTATTTGAGTTTTTGCTATTGAATTGTTTGGGCTCCTTATATATTCTGGTTATTAGTCCCTTGTCAGATGGGTTAGTGTGCAAACATTTTCTCCCATTCTGAGTTTTTTTTTTTCACTTTGTTGGTTGTTTCCTTTGCTATGCAGAAGCTTTTTAGCTTGATATAATCCCATGCATCTATGTTTGCTTTGGTTTCCTGTATTTTTTTTTTTTTTTTGAGACAGAATCTTGCTCTGTCACCAGTCTGGAGTGCAGTGGCATGATCTCGGCTCACTGCAACCTCTGCCTCCCGGTTTCAAGCAATTCCTCTGCCTCAGCCTCCCAAGCAGCTGGGACTACAGGCATGCGCCACCATGTCTGGCTAATTTTTTGTATTTTAGTAGAGATGGGGTTTCGCCATGTTGGCCAGGATGTTCTTGATCTCCTCATCTCATGATTCACCTGCCTCGACCTCCCAAAGTGCTGGGTGTTTTTTTGTTTGTTTGTTTTTTGTTTTGCGATCTTATTCAAGAAATCTTTGTCCAGATCAATGTCCTGGAGGATTTCTCCAAAGTTGTCTTCTAGTAGTTTCATAGCTTTAGGTATTTGATTTAAATCTTTAGTCCATTTTGATTTGATTTTTTTGTATAGTGAGAGTTATGAGTCTATTTTCATTCTTATGCATATGGTCATCCAGTTTTCTCAGCACCATTTATCTAAGAGATTGTCCTTTCCCCACTTCATGATCTTGGTGCCTTTGTCACAAAGATTAGTTAGCTGTAAATGCATGTTTATATCTGGGTTCACTACTCTGTTCCATGGGTCTATGTTTCTGTTTTTATGCCAGTACCATGCTAATCAATCTTTTTACTCTAGATTTGTAGTAAATTTTACAGTAGGTACAGTAGGCAGTGTAAGGCCTCTAGTTTAATTCCCTGATTAGGATTGCTTAGGTTATTGGGCTCTTACTGGTGTCTATATAAATTTTAGATTTTTTTTTCCTATTTCTGTGAAAAATGTCATTGATAGGAGTTGCATTGAATCTGTAGATTGCTTTTGATAGAAGTGTCATTCTTCCAGTTCATTAATATGCAATGTATTTATTTTGATGTCCTCTTCAATTACTTTCATCAGTGTTTTATAGTTTTCCTTGTACAGATGTTTTACTTCTTTGGTTAAATTGACTCCTAATTAATCAATATTCATTGTAGCTATTGTAAATGGGTTGCTTTCTTGATGTCTTTTTCACATTGTTCACTGTTGCCATATATAAATGCTCCTGATTTTTGCATGTTGATTTTGTATTACTGCAACTTTACCAAATTCATTTATAAGCTCTGTTTTTTGCCAGATTTTTCTGATTTTTTTCTAAGTACAAGATTATGTCATCTGAGAACAAGAATAATTCGACTCCTTTCTTTCAGTTTGAAAACCCACTATTTCTTTCTCTTGCCTACTTGTTCTGACAAGAACTTCCGATTATGTTGAATAAAAGCATTGGAAGTGGGCATCCCTGTTTTGTTCCATATCTTAGAGGAAATGTCTTCAATTTTTCCCCATTCAGTGCAATGTTATCCGTGGGTTTGTCACATATAGTCTATTATTTTGAAGTATCTTGCTTCTATTCCCAGTTTGATGAGGGTTTTTAATCATAAAGGGATGTTGAATTTTATCAAATGCTTTTTTGGCATCTATTGAAGTATTCATGTTTTTGTTCTTGGTTCTGTTAATGTCGTGTATCAGTTTTATCAATTTGCATATGTTGAACCATCCTTGCATCCCTAGGATGAATCCTGATTGAGCATGGTGAATAATCATTATATTGCATTGTTGAATTTGATTTGCTAGTATTTTGTTGAGGATTTTTGCCTCTATGTTCATCAGTGATATTGGCTAGTAGTTTTCTTTTCTCACCATGTCCTTGTCCAGGTTTGGTTTCTGGGTAATGCCAGGCTTGTACAATGAGTTTGGAAGTATTTCCTCCTCTTCTGTATTTTTGAGGAGTTTGAGGATTGAGGATTGAGAATTGGTATTAGCTCTTTTTCACACATTTGGCAGAATTTAGCAGTAGCAGTGAAGCCATCAGGTCCTGGGCTTTTTGTTTTGTTTTTTTCATAGGAGACTTTTCATTATAGCTTTTATCTCATTACTCATTATTGATTTATTGGGGTTTTAGATTTCTTCATGGTTCAATCTTGGTAGGTTATATGTGTCCAGGAATTTACTCATATATTCTAAGTTTTCCAATTTTTTGGCAAATAGCTGTTCATAATATTTTTAATGATTTAGTGTATTTCTATGGTCTCAGTTGTTATTTTTCCCTCTGATGTTATTTATCTGAGTCTTCTCTCTTTTTTTTCTTAATCTAGCTAAAGGTACTTTTTTTAGCTTTTTGAAAATCAAATTTTGTTCCATCGATCTTCTGTACTTTAAAAAAATTTCAATTTTATTAATTTCTGCTCTGATCTTTATTATTTCTTTCCTTCTAATTTTGGGTTCAGTTTATTCTTGCTTTTGTGGTTTATTGAGGTGCATCATTAGATTTATTTCTTGAAGTCTTTCTACTATTTTGATATACATGTTTATTGCTATAAAATTCCTTTTTAGTACTGGAACTTACAGATTTGGATATTTTGTATTTTCATTTTCACTGGTTTCAATAAATTTTAAAAATTTTGTTAATTTCTTCATTGATCTATTGATAATTCATGAGCATGTTTAATTTCCATGTGTTTGTGATATTTCTGAGGTTCTCTTGTTATTGTAGTTTTATTCCATCCTGGTCAGAAAAGGTACCTGATATAATTTCTAACTTTTTGAATTTCTTCAGACTTGTTTTGTGGCCTAAGGTATCTTTTCTGAAGAATGTTCCATGTGCTGATGAAAAGAATGTGTATTCTGCAGTAGTTGGGAGAAATGTTCTGAAAATGTCAGTTAGGCCTATTAGATGTATTGTATAGTTTAACTCTGATGTTTCCTTATTATTTGCTATCTGGATGATCTGTCCATTACTAAGAGTGTGGTGTTAAAGTCCGCTGCTATTCTCATACTGAAGTCTGTCTTTCCCCTCAGACTTTTTAATGTTTGTTTTTTATACTTGGACGCCTCAATTTTTAGTCCATAAATATTTATGATTGTTTTGTCTTCTTACTGAATTGACACCTTTGTTACTATGTAGTGAAATTCTTTGTCTCTTTGTACCATTTTAGATTTGTAGTCTATTTTACCTTGTATTAGTATAGCAACTCCTGCTCTTTTTTGATTTCCAGTTGCATGGAACATCTTTTTCCAGTCCTTCACTTTCAGTCTGTGTGTCCAGATAAAGTGGATATCTTATAGGAAGCATATAGATGGTCTTATTTATCCATTTAGCCACTGTATGCCTTTTAATTGGAAAATTGCATCCATTTATATAAAATGTTACTACTGATAAGTAAAAACTTACTACTGCCATTTCTATGCTTGTTTCCTGGTTGTTTTGTAAATTATCTCTTTCTTTCTCCTTTCTTATCCTCTTCCTTAATGGCTAAGTGATTTTCTCTGGAAGTATGTTTTAAACTGTTGCATTTTATCTTTAGCAAATCTATTACAGGTTTCTGCATTGTGGTTACCATGAGGCTTGCAAAAACCATCTTGTAGATATAATGCTATTTTAAAGAGATGACAACTTATCTTAGATAAAAAATAATAGAAACAAAAGGAAAATGAAAAAAAGTCTACACTTTAACTCCATCTCCCCCACATTTTACTTTTATATTCAACTTACATATTTTTATATTACCTATCTCTTAATAGGTTGTCGTAGCTATTATTGTTTCGATGGATTTATCTTTGGGGCTAGAGTTATGAGTGTATTGCACACCACAATTACAATATTAGAGTATTGTGGGTTTGTCCAGTTACTTAATTTTACCAGTGGTTTTATAACTTTAAATGTTCTGTATGTTTTTTGTTTATTATTTTATTTTCGAACATTGGTGTTGTCTTAGTCCATTTTCACAATTCTATAAGGAACTACCTGAGACTGGGTAATTTATAAAGAAAAGAGGTTTAATTGACTCATAGTTCCATATGGCTGGGGAGGCCGTGGGAAAATTACAATCACGGCAGAAGGCTAAGGGGAAGCAAGATATGTCTTACATATGGTTGCAGGACACAGGAGAGGGGTTGAAGTGCCACACTTTTAAACCATCAGATCTCGTGAGAACTCACTATCATGAGGACAGCATGGGGGAACAACCTCCATGATCCGATCACCTCCCACCAGGTCCCTCCCTCGACAAGACATGTGGGGATTACAGTTCGACATGAATTTTTTTTTTTTTTTTTTTGAGACAGAGTTTCTGTCTTGTTGCCCAGACTGGAGTGCAATGGCGTGATCTCAGCTCACTGCAACCTCCGCCTCCTGGGTTGAAGCAGTTCTCCCGCCTCAGCCTCCCGAGTAGCTGGGATTACAAGTGCCCACCACCACTCCCAGCTAATTTTTGTATTTTTAGTAGAGACGGGGTTTTGCAGTGTTGGCCAGGCTGGTCTCTAGCTCCTGACCTCAGGTGATCCACCCGCCTCGGCCTCCCAAAGTGCTGGGATTACAGACATGAGCCACTGCGCCCGGCCTCGACATGAAATTTGAGTGGGGATACAGAGCAAACCATATCAGTTGTTTTATTCTTTCAGCTTAAAGAACTCCGGTTAGTATTTCTTGTAAGACAGGTCTGATGGTGGTGAATTCTCTCAGCTTTTGTTTGTCTGGGAAAGACTTTATCTCTCCTTCATATTTGAAGGATAACTTTTCTGGGTACAATATTCTTGAATGACAGTATTTTTCTTTCAGCACTTTAAAAATGTCATTTCACTTTCCCCTTGCCTGTATGGCTTCCTTTGAGAAGTCTGTTGCCAGACCAACTGGAACTCCTTTTCATTATCTGCTTCTTTTCTCATGCTGCTTTTAGGATTCTCTCTTGTCCTGAACCTTTGAGAACATGATTATTATATACCTTGGGATTGTCTTGTTTGGGTATCTGTTTGGTGTTCTCTGACTTTGCTGTACCTGAATTTTTTATCTTTCTCAAGTTGAAAATTTTTTTGTTATTATTTATTTAAATAAACTTTCTACCCCATCTCTTAATCAATTCCCTCTTGACCATCAATAATTCTTAGATTTAATTCTTTGAGGTAATTTTCTGTATCTTGCAGGAGGTCTTCATTCATTTTTACTTTTTTTCTCTCTCTCTTCTGACTGTGTGTTTCCAAGTAGCCTGTGTTCAATTTTACTGATTCTTTTCTCTGCTTGATTCCTTTGCTGATGAAAGCCTCTAGTGAATTTTTCAGCACAGCAAATGTGTTTCTCAGTTCCGAGGATTTCTGTTTGATTTTTTACATTATTTTAATATCTTTGTTGAGTTTCTCTGATAAATTTCTGAACTGCTTTTTTGTGTTATTTTGGAGGTCACTGAATTTCCTTAAAACTACTACTTTGAATTCATGGTCAGAGAGCTCACATATAGCCATATCAACAGGGTCAGTTACTGGTTTTTTGCTTTGCCCATTTGGAGAGATTATGGTTTCCTGTTTGCTGTTGTTTCTTGTGCATGTATGTCTATGTCTTTGTATTAAAGAATTTATTCTAGTCTTCTCTGTCTTCCTTGTTTTGCTTTTTATTGGATATGTTTTTCACAGAGATCCCTTTGTCTCTTGGTCATTGCCTCCACCCCCAGCCAGATCCTTAAGTCCAGGTTTGCTTTGCCTCTGGTAAATGATTTGAACATTAACCTTTCCAAATGGGGAAGGATTGTAAATAGCATGTCCCAGCAGTGTGAAAAGGCTGGTGAGGGAGTTGCTCCTGGGGACCTATGAAACAAACTTCCTACAGTATGGTGCTGCTAAACAGCCACTCTGATTTGGCATACCTTTGGCTGAGTTATAAAGCAGAGTTTCCAGGACTGGGGATGGTATTTCTGCCTCCCCACTTTTTCTCTGTCTGTTTTCAGGGATATTTCTCCTTTCTGGCACCTGAGATGTTTCTTATGGGTTAAGACAAGGACAAATATTCTGCCAGGGAATTCGAGAAGGTGAGAAAGTTGTTGTCTACCTTGATATCACTTTTTTCAGGGTGAGAGCAGTGAGTTGGGGCAAAATTCTCTGTACATCTGGTACTGGGCAGAATGGGAAGGAGGGGTGTCATGGATGTGGAATTTTGGTTCTCATACAATCATCTCTATGTTTTTTCACTTCTCTGTGGCCCCAGGAATTGTCTTATATTTATGTTTGAGTTTGGGGATATTTCAAGTACTAATCTCAGCACTGTATACTTGTTTTTTGTTTTCTGGGATTATTGATGGGGGCGGTTCAAGCCTGCTTCTATGTGGCCATTTTGGAACTGGAAGTCCCCTCATTTTTAATTGCTCTAGAATGACAGAAAACCCTTAGGAGAGAGAGGGAAAAGAAAGATGGCAGAATAGAATCCACCAATCACCCCCACACCATCACAAGGACAGCAAGTTAACAGCTATCTACATAGAAAAAAAAAACAACTTCGTAAGTATCAAAAAATCAGTTGAGCACTCATAAAAACAGTCCTGAATCACTGATGCCACCCCTTTCCAACACCCAGCAGTGGCAGCATGGTGCAGAGTGTCTCTGGGCCCTGGGGGAGAGAGAACACAGCAATTGTGTGGCACTGAACTCTGTGCTGTCTAGTTAGAGCAGAAAGGAAACCCAGACCAAACTCAGCTGATGCCCACCCATGGAGGGAGCTATTAAACCAGCCCTAGCCAAAGGGGAATCACCCATCCCAGTGGTCCAAACGTGAGTGCCTGCAAATCTTGCTACTGAGGTCTACAGTACTCTGAATCTCCAAGTAAACTTGAAAGGCAGTCTAGGCCATAAGGACTGTAACACTTAGGTGAGTCCTAGGGCTAAACTAGGCCCACTCAGTCCACTGACTGAGGTGGCATGCAACATACTGAGAAACCAACTGGGCCAGCCAAGGGAGTACTGGTATCACTCCTCACCTAACCCCAGGCTGCACAGCTTGTGGCTCCAAATCTTCCCCTTGAGGAGAGGAGAGAGAAGAGTGAGGAGGATTTTGTCTTGCATCTAGGATACCAGCTCAGCCACAGCAGAATAGGGCACCAGTCAAAGTCATCAGGTCCTTGTTCCAGGCACTGGATCCCAGACAACATTTCTAGATACACATTGGGCCAGAAGAGAACCTGCTGCCTTGAAAGAAAGGACCCATTCCTGGTTGCATGCATTGCCTGATAACTGAAGAACCTTTGGGCCCTGAATAACCAGCAGCAATAACCAGGTACTACATCAAGGGCCTTGAGTGAGCCTCTGAGACTTTCTGGCTTCAGGTGAGACTCAGCACATTACCAGCTGTGGTGGTTACAGAGGAAAACTTCTGCTTAAGAAAAGCAGAGGGAAGAGTAAAGGAGACATTGTCTTGCAACTTAGGTACCAGCACAACCTCAGGGGGGCTAGAGTACCAAGGGGAATCTTGGGGTCCCTGATTCCAGGACTTGACTCTTGAATGGCATTTCTGGACCTGCCCTGGGCCAGAGGGGAGTCCATTGCCCTGAAATGTAAGTTCTGGGCCAGGCAGTGTTCATGAAAAGCTGACTTAGGAGACTTTGGGTCTCACGGGAACAAGTAGCAGTAGTCTGGCAGTACTCCTTGGGCCTAGGGTGGCAGCGGCTATGGGGTGAGGCTCCTCTGCCATTAGAAAGGGGAGGGAAGAGTGGAAAAACACTGCATCTTGTGGTTGGAGTGCTAGCTCAGCCACATGACAATAGAACACCAGGTAAACCTCTAAGGTTTTTGATGACTCCCTAACTCCCAGACGGTGCTTCAGGACGCACCCATGGCCTGAGGAACCTCACTGCCCTGAAGGGAAGGGCACAGGCCTGGCTGGCTTTGCCACCTGCTGAATGTAAAGCCCCAGGGCCTTGAGTGAACATAGGCAGTATCCAGGAACATAGGCAGCAGCCAGGAACTGGTCTTGGGTGAGATCCTGTTCTGTACTGGTTTCAGGTCTGATCTAGCTCAGTCATAGTGATTATGGCCACAGGGGTGCTTGTGTCACTCCACCCCCAGCTTTAGATGCCTCTGAAGAGAGAGAGGAGAGAGAGGAGAGAGAGGAGAGAGAGGAGAGAGGAGAGAGGAGAGAGAAGAGAGAGAGAGAGAGAGACTCTATATGTTTGGGGGAAAGTAAGGGAAGATTAAAAGAATCTCTGCCTGGTAATCCAGATAATTCTTCTGGATCTTGTCCAAGACTATCAAGGCAGTACCTCTGCAAGAACCACAGTGTTGCTGGGCTTGGGGTGCTCCTGAAACAGATACAGCTTAGATCATGACACTTAAGTCCTTTCGAATATATAAAAAGCCTCCCCCCAAAAAACAGCTAAATATAAGCCCAGACAGTGAAGACTACAATAAACACCTAACTCCTCAATGCCCAGATAATGAAGAACATCTGCTAGCATCAACGCCATCCAGGAAAACATAACCTCACCAAATGAACTAAAGAAGGCACCAGGGACCAATCTTGGAGAAACAGAGATATATGACTTTTCAGAGAGAGAATTCAAAATAGCTGTATTAAGAAAATTCAAAGAAACTCAAGATAACACAGAGAAGGAATTTAGAATTCTATCATATACATTTAACAAAATGACTGAAATAATTAAAAAGAATCAAGCAGAAATTCTGGAGCTGAAAAGTGCAATAGGCATACAGAAGAATGCATCAGAGTCCTTTAATAGAATCGCTGTAGTAGAAGAAAGAATTAGTGAGTTTGAAGACAGGCTGATATAGAAAATACACAGAGAAGACAAAAGAAAAAAGAATAAAAAACAATGAAGCTTGCCTACAGCATCTAGAAATTCATCTCAAAAGGGCAAATTTAAGAGTTATTCACCTTCAAGAGGAGGTAGAGAAAGAGATGGGGTAGAAAGGTTATTCAAAGGGATAATAACAAAAAACTTTCAAAACCTAGAGAAAGATATTAATATCTAACTACAAGATTATAGAACATCAAGCAGATTTAATCCAAAGAAGACTACCTTGAGGTATTTAATAATCAAATTCCCAAAAGTCAAAGATTAAAAAAAAGATCCTAAAAACAGTAACAGAAAATAAACAAATAACATAAAATGGAGCTTCAATATGTCTGCCAGCAGACTTTTCAATAGAAACCTTACAGGACAGGAGAGAGTGTCATGACATGTTTAAAATCCTGAAGGAAAAAAACCTTTACCCTAGAGCAGTATATCCAGTGAAAATATCCTCCAAACATAAAGAAGAAATAAAGACTTTTCCATACAAACAGAAGCTGAGGAATTTCATCAACATCAGACTTGTCCTACAAGAAATGCTAAAGGGAGTACTTAAATTGGAAAGAAGACATTAATGAATAATAAAGAATCACCTGATGGTACAAAACTCACTGGTAATAGGAAGTACACAGAAAAACACAGAATATCATAACCTTGTAACTATGGTGTGTAAACTACACTGATCTTATGTAGAAAGACTAAATAATAAACCAATCAAAATAATAACTACAACTTTTCAAGACATAGTAAAATAAGATATAAATAGCAAAAACAAAAAGTTAAAAAGCAGGGGGTTGAAGTTAAGGCATAGAGTTTTTATGAGTTTTCTTGATTGTTTGTTTATGCAAATACTATTAAGTTGTTATCAGGTGAAAAGAATGCGTTATAAAATAGTACTTGCAAGCCTCATGATAACCTCAAACCAAAAAAACATACAATGGGTACACAAAAAATAAAAAGCAAAAAATTAAATCATATCTTCAGAGAAAATCACCTTCACTAGAGGAAGACAAGAAGGAAAGGAAAAAGGAAGAAAATAACATAAAAAAAAACCAGAAAACAAACAACAAAATGGCAGGAGTAAGTTTCTACTTATAAACAATAACATTGAATGTAAATGAACTAACCTTGCCAATTAACAGACATAGACTGGCCGAATGGATGAAAAAACAAAACGCATTGAACTGTTGCCTACAAGAAACACACGTCATCTACAAAGACACACAGAGATTGAAAATAAAGGGATGGAAAAAGATATTTTGTGCCAATGGAAACAAAAAAGAACAGGAGTCACTATCATTATATTAGAAAAAAAAGATTTCAAAAGAAAAACTCAGAAGAGACAAAGAAGGTCACTATACAATGATAAAAGGGTCAGTTCAGAAAGAGAATGTAACAATTGTAAATATATAGGCACCCAACACTGGAGCATCCAGATGTATAAAGAAAAGACTGTTAGAGCTAAAGAGGGACATAGGCCCTGATACACTAACAGCTGGTAGCTTCAACATCCAATTTTCAGCACTGGATGACTTCCAGACAGAAAATCAACATAGAAACATTAGACTTAATCTCCACTATAGACCAAAAGGATTTAGTAGATATTTACAGAACATTTCATCCAAAGGTTGCAGAACACACATTTTTTCCTCAGCGTGGATCATTCTCAAGGATAGACTATATGTTAGGTCACAAAACAAATCTTAAAACATTCAAAAAAATTGAAATAATATCAAGCATTTTCTCTGATCACAATTGAATAAAACCAGAAATTAATGAGAAGAATTTTGGAAAGTATACAAATACACAGAAATTAAACAATATATTCCTTAATGACCTGTGGGTCAATAAAAAAATTAAAAAGGAAATTGAAAAATTTTTGAAACAAATGATAATGTAAAGACAACATACCAAAACCAAAGAGATACAGCAAAAGCAGTGCTAATAGGGAAGTTTATAGCTATAACTGCCAACATCAAAAAAGAGGAAAATTTTTAAATAAGCAATCTAACAATGCACTTTACAGAACTAGAAAAGCAAGAGCAAACCAAACCCAAAATAAATAGAGGAAAATAAATAATAAAGATCAGAGTAGAAATCAATGAAGTGAAAAAAATACAAAAGATCAATGAAACAAAAAGTTTTTTTTTTTTTTTAAAGTTAAACAAAATTGACAACCTTTAGCCAGACTAAGGAAAAAAAGAGTATCCAAATAAATAAAATCAGAAATGAAAAATGAGACATTAAAACTGGTAATGCAGAAATTCAAAGGATCATTAGTGGCTACTATGTGCAACTATATGCCAATAAATTGGAAAGTCTAGAAGAAATTAACAAATTCCTAGATACATACAGTCTACCAAAATTGAACAAGGAAGAAATTCAAATCCTGAACAGACAAACAGCAAGTAACAAGGTAAAGGCTGCAATAAAAAGTTTCCCAGAAAATAAAAGCTTGAGACCTGATGGCTTCACTGCTGAATTCTACCAAACATTTAAAGAAGAATTAATACCAATCCTACTCAAACTATTCAAAAATATAGAGGAGGAGGGAATACTTCTAAACTCATTCTATAAGGCCAGTATTATCGTGAAACCAAAACAGAAAAAGACACATTGCAAAAAGGAAACTATACTCCAGTATCTCTGATGAACATTGATGCAAAAAGCCTCAACAAAATAATAGCAAACAATTTTCAACAGCACATTACAAATGTCACACATCATGACTAAGTGGAGTTCATCCTGGGGATGCAAGGATGGTTCAATATAAACAAATCAATCAATGTGTACATTATGTGAGTAGAATGAACGATAAAAATTATATGGTAAAATGATAAAACCATTTCAAGTGATGCTGAAAAAACATTTGATAAAATTCAACATCCCTTTATGTTAAAAACCCTTAAAAAATTGGAGATAGAAGCAACATACCTCAATGTAATAACCGCCATATATGACAAACCCACAGCTAATATTATACTGAAGGAGGATAAACTGAAAGCCTTTTCTCTAAGATCTTCAACATGACAAGGGTACCCAATTTCACCACTATTATTAAACATAGTACTGGGAGTTCAAGCTAGAGCAATCAGACAAGACAAAGATACAAAGAGCATCCAAATTGGAAAGGAAGAAGTGAAATTATTCTTGTTGGCAAATGATATGATATTATATTTTGAAAAATTTAAAGAGTCCAGAGAAAAACTATTAGAACTGATAAACAAATTTATTAAAGTTGCAGGATACAAACTGAACATACAAAAATATATATGCCAACAGTGAACAATTGGAAAAAAACAATAAAAAAGTAATCCCATTTATAATAGCCATTATAATGGCTATTATAAACCAAATAATCCCATTTCTAATAGTTCAAGATCTTACACATAAAATTAAAAAAGTAAGAATTATCTTAATCGAGGAAGTGAAAGATCTCTATAATGAAAATTATAAAACACTGATAAAAGAAATTGAAGAGGACACTAAAAAAATAAAAAAAAAACCTCTGTTTATGGATTGGAAGAATCAATTGTTAAAATGTCTGCACTACCCAAAGCAATCTACAGATTCAATGTAATCCTAATCAAATACCAATGAAATTTTTCACAGAATTAGAAAAAAAACCTAAAATTTATATTAAACCACTACAGACCCAGAATAGCTACATCTCTTCTCAGCAAAAAAGAACAAAACTGCAGGAATCACGTTACCTAACTTCAAATTATACTATAGAGCTATAGTAACCAAAACAGCATGGTACTACCATAAAAACAGACATATAGATTAATGGAAGAGAATAGAGAACCCAGAAAAAATTGCATACATCTACAGTAAATCCATTTTCCACAAAGATGCCCAGAACATATATTTGAGCAAGAACAACCTCCTCAATAAATGGTACTGGGAAAACTGGATATCCATATGTAGAAGAATGCATCTAGACTCCTATCTCTCATCATACACAATAATCAAAGCAAAATAGGCTAAAGACTTAAATCTAAGACCTCAAACTATAAAAATACTAGAAGAAAACATTGTGGAAACTCTCCAGGACATCAGAGTGTGCAAGGATTTCTTGAGTAATACCCAACAAGCATAGGCAACCAATGCAAAAATGGAAAAATAAGATCACATCAATTTAAAAAGTGTCTGCACAGCAAAGGAAACAATCAACAAAGTGAAGAGAACCCACAGAATGGGAGAGAATATTTGCAAACTATCCATATGATGAGGGATTAATAACCAGCATATGTAAGAAGCTGAAAAACTAGGAAAAATCTCTAAATCCTATTAAAAATGGGCAAAAAATCTGAATAGACATTTCTCAGAAGAAGGTGTACAATTAATGAACAGGCATATGAAAAAGGGGTCAACATAATTGATCATCAGAGAAATGCAAGTTAAACTGCAATGAAATATCATCTCACCCCAGTTAAAATGGCTTATATTTAAAAGACAGGCAATAACAAATACTGGCAAGGCTATGGAGAAAAGCAAATTCTCATACACTGTTGGTGGGAATGTAAATTAGTACAACCACCATAGAGAACAGCTTGAAGGTTCCTCAACAAATTAAAAATGGAGCTACCATCTGATCCAGCAATCCCACTGGTGTGCCTATGCCCCAAAGAAAAGGAATCAGTATTTCAAAGAGATATTTGCACTCCCATGTTTGTTGCAGCACTATTTACAATAGCTAAGATTTAGAAGCAACATAAGTGTCCATCAACAGATGAATAGATAGAGAAAATATGGTACATATACACAATGGAGTACTAATCAGCCATAAAAAGAAATGAGATCTAGCCATTTGCAACAGCATGGATGGAACTGGAGATCATTATGTTAAGTGAAACAAGCCAGGCACAGAAAAACAAGCACTGCATGTTCTCACTTATTTGTTGGATCTTAAAATCAAAACACTTGAACTCGTGGACACAGAGAGTAGAAGGATGGTTATCAGAGGCTGGGAAGGGTAGCAAGGGGCTGGTGAAGTAGGTGGGAATGGCTAACCGGTACAAAAAGTGGTTAGAAAGAATGAATAAGACCTACTGTTTCGTAGTACAATAGGATGACTATAGTCAATAATAACTCAACTGTACATCTTAAAATAACTTAAAGAGTGTGATTGGATTGTTTATAACTCAAAGGATAGATGCTTGAGGGGATAGCTACCCCATTCCCCATGATGTGTGTATTTCATATTACATGACTATATCAAAATATCACATGTACTCCATAAATAAATACCTACAGTGTACCCACAATAGTTTAAAAAATAAAAAAGGAAAAAATTGTAAACAAATAACCAAACTCTTGGAAAAACTATAAAGATTTATGCTCGGTCCAGAGCATAAAAAAATGAAGAGAAAAAAGATAAAAAGAATAACAATATAAGGAAAAATAAAATCACCTGGCTCCTTCCCGCTTTCTGTGGTATATTTCATACTTGTAACTCCCAATGAATCATGCCTTGCAGTATTATAACCCTCATGACATCTCCTCCCACATTGACCCTGTACCTGACTATAAGATTTCTTTGCTGTTTAGGACATCAGCAAATGTGATGCAAGCAGAAGCATGTTATGTGCTTGGGAATTAGGGCTTACTCTCTTAGAATACTGACACTACTATGTAAAGCAACTCTGACTGGGCATACATGAGCAGCCAAGAGCCAGGGACCAGCCATCAGATATGTGAGTAAGACCATCTTAGGTCATTGGCTCCAATCAAGCCACCAGATGATTGCAGTCTACACACAATCAACAGAAAATCATTTAGCTGAGCCCAGCACATATTGCAGAATTGTGACCAAACGTGGTTGCTGTTTCAAGATATTAATTGTACATAATAGATAATAATAGGTAACTAAAACATCTATCCAACTTTACCTTCTACTATTTTCCTCACTTCATCTTTGTCTAAGGTTTTCTTGCTCTTCATTGAACATGACAGCACATTTTTGTTTTAAGTTCTGTAACTGGGTGTTACCTCTATCTGGGAAGCCTAGATCCTTACGTGATTCACTTTTTGCATTCAATAGTAATCAAAGGCCACCTATTCAAGGAAGCCTTAACACCACATCTAATATACTCCTATATGCTTTCTCTCCATTTTCTTTTTCACTTCATTTTTCTTGAGAACTTATTTTGAAAACATATGATGTATTCATTGGATTTCTCAGTCATTTTATGTCTACTCCACTGAAAGTTCCAGGAGGAAAAAGACCATTTCTGTCTTGTTTATCACTCTACTGTCTATGGCTAGGATGATTCTGGCATATTATAGGCATCTCAGTGATGTCTTTTAAATTAATTAATAAATAAAACATAATTTATTGAGAAGAGATTTTGGCAGAACCAGTGGGAATGAGAAGTTCATATTCAGAACAAAGACTAAAAGAGTTCTTAATTGGGAAATACACTTCTAATAATTTTTATGTAAGTGCAGTAAATTTTTTTATTGCCTTCCATTTTATCTTTTGATTTTTTTATTTGACATATTGATTCTTTAACCCGTTGCTGAGTGCAGAGCCTTTACAGTGAATTTATAATACTTTATTTAATTATAGTGGAATATTTAGCTGCTTGGTTACTGTAATTTACAGATAACTTTTTTTTTTTTTTGAGATGGAGTCTCACTCTGTCACTCAGGCTAGAGTGCAGTGGCGTGATCTTGGCTCACTGCAACCTCCGCCTACCGGGTTCAAGCAATTCTCTGCCTCAGCCTCCCGAGTAGCTGGGATTACAGGCACCAGCCACCACGCCTGGCTAATTTTTGTATTTTTAGTAGAGACGGAGTTTCACCATCTTGGCCAGGCTGGTCTTGAACTCCTGATCTCCTGATCCACCCCCCTCGGCCTCCCAAAGTGCTGGGATTACAAGTGCAAGCCACCGTGCCTGGCCCAGATAAAATTTTTAGAAGGTGAAACTACTATTTTAAATCAGTTTTTCTTCATGTGGTTATAAATATTCTTTCTAATAAGACGCCTTATTACCAGTATTTTATGGATTCTTAAATTTACAATTTCTAATTAATTATGAAATTATACTATACTCGTGTTGAAAAAACTTAATTCTCCACACTCTTAACTCAGGCTTTCTCAATAAACATCCTTAATACTAAAATCCAGTAACTCATTATTTCCATATGTGACAGTTACGTACACAAAAATCTTTACTCTCCTGAAAGAACATAAAATAGTAATCTTCAAGAATCTATTATACACATCGAACCACTTGTGGATTCACAACTGTTTAACTATAATGTGAACAACAGTCTAACAATGTTTTTGCCTGGATTTTTAAGGCCTAACAGGGTATAGTAGAAAACTTTAAGGAAAAGGAATTTGGGGGTCTTCTTAAGACAAGCAGATGTCAATTCCTGCCTACTCTGTCCCCAGCCCTTTAAATTGTTAATGTCCTTTAACACAAATTTACCCTCTATACTCATAAATGACCACACAACATCACTGACACTGTCACTTGTATTTAACTAAGATGCCTTTTGTTCCAACTAATTTAGTTATTCTTTTATTTTTAGTGGCTCTGTGTATCTTGATACCCATCTCGTGTTGCCCTGGTCCCTCTAACAGTCTTCTGCCTTGACTGTTAGCTAGCAGTCTCTCTCTCTCTCTCTATTTCTCTCTCTCTCTCACACACACACACCCACACACACACACACACACACACACACACACACACACACACACACTTCTCTGAGACACACACACACTTCATTTTGATGCTTCCCTTACTTATACAGGCACTAGGAATGTAACCAAAAGGAAGACCCATCTTTGATTTTAATTTCTTAGAACCCATAGCCATCAGGGTAATTGTGTCCATTTTTTTTCCAGTAGGATACAGAGAGATATGGTTAATGGGAAGATAGGGAGAAAGGAGACCATGAAGTCCTTAAAAACAAAAACTGGAGAAAGTTAAAGAAACATCTATGTGTGTGTGTGATATACACATGTATATTTCTATATGTAATATGTATATGTGTATGTACATACATACATTGATCCATATATGCTGCACAAATAAATATGAGTTGAATTTTATTTTAGATTTTTATGTCTTTTCTCACAATTCTACCTTGTCTTTATAAATCATAGTCTCCTGGAACCACTCAGTATAGGGTCAAGTAAATCTGTACAACATTCATGGTGACCAGTATAAATGGTGTACATATGAATGTTGTGGCAAATACAGTGACTTTTTTCTCGAAACAGAACAGTGATTACAGGTGAGCTGAAGTTAATGTCATCCCTACTGATTTATTTGTCAAAGACAACATATTATGGGTAATTTGGTCCACAGGAGACCTCCTCTGAAGACCTGAAGTTCTGTTTTCAATCTCACCAGCATGCTTTTTATGGGTGTTGACTGATTTATACATAGCATTTAGCATAAGATACAAACACTAGAAAATATACAAGGAAAAAGATCATATGATATGAGCTCAGTCCAATTATCGGTTCACGAACCTGTAGGCAAATTGCACTCT
The DNA here is from genome assembly GCF_000001405.40 of Homo sapiens. Lineage (NCBI taxonomy): Eukaryota > Metazoa > Chordata > Mammalia > Primates > Hominidae > Homo > Homo sapiens. The sequence goes on along the minus strand of NC_000005.10, from coordinate 110,297,397 downwards.
GTCATTCCCACAGAATTGAATCTCAGCTTGAGCAAATGAGTTTTATGCTTTTACAATACCATTTAGGGATGTGACAGAAGTGTTACAAGATCCATGTTTAAGGGCATGGACCTTTAAATTCAATAGAAAAAAAGGAAGCATTTTTAGGAAGAGATAAGAAGAAACATTTGACATGCTATCAAAGCAGGAAGTAATATTTCTCTTCTAAAGTAAAGAGCCGTGGAAAGAATAAAAGAAGGTAATATGTAATCTTTTTAAGGAATATTTCCAACAGAAGCAGTTAAATATGAACAAATATTTGATATTCAGAAATTCAGTTATCTTGAACTGAATAAAGCAAACATCATTGTGACTTGTCATGGTTTTATCCTAAATGGACAAAGGACAACATGAACTATACTATAGACCGTTCAATACATGATTACATATTTTATTAAAAATCAGTTCAGGTACCTTTACCATTTATTCACTTTCCTCCCTGTATCAACATCCATCCCCCAACAGCCCCCATACACACGCTCAGCTCTCTTGTTTTCCTAACCTTTCCCCATTTCTTGCTTTCTCTCACCTTTCTTCAGTGCTATATAATTTGCAAGGTCACTTTCTTTCTTCCTCTGAATTTGATCCCCTTTGTGGAAATAATAATAACTAATACTTATGGAACATTTACCAGGTGCTCAGAGTTTTTCATAGAGTGGCCCTTTTGATATTTACTGCAACATCATGAGGTGAACGCTTTATTATACTCATTTTACAGATAAGGAAATTAAAGCTTAAAAGGATTAAATGACTTGCCTAAAGCAGTACAGCTACTAAGTTGCAGAACTGGGATTTGAACCCATCTCTGTCAAATTCCAAAGCTCCTGGTCTTTACCACTATGCTTTAAAGACTACCCTCTTGCTATATTATGGCATCAAATTAAATCAAACTGAGACGCATTTACTAAGCACATATTAAGTGCAAGATGCCATTCTAGCATCAGAAGCAAAAGTGGCTCAAGCAAGAAAAATTACCTTGTGTCCATCAAGGTCTAGTCAGGAAATAGAAAAAATATGAGTTACATTAACAGGGAAAATGTTACATACAGAATGTACAGAACAATTAACTAGCTATGATAGTTCTCCCTTACAAGTGGGGAATACATTTTAAGATCCCCAGTGGATTCCCAAAACCACAGAGAGTACCAAACACTACATATACTATGTTTTCCCCATATGTAAATACCTGTGATAAAGTTTAATTTATAAATTAGACACAGTAAGATATTGATAACAATAATAAAATGGAAAAATTATAACAATATACTGTAATAAAAGTTACATGAATGATGTCTCTCTAAATATCTTATTGTACTGTACTCACCCTTTTTGGATGATGTGAGATAATACAATTCCTAAATGATGAGATAAAGTTAAGGTGAATGATGTCGGCACTGTGATAGAACATTAGGCTACTATTGACCTCTGACAATACACCAGAAGATGAATCAGTTGCTTCAGGTGATTCTGGATCATCAAGGAGCCATGGTAATGTTAATGGTTGGAAGTCAGGAGCAGATGATATCAGTGACCAATGGACAAGTAGGATATACAGCAATGATAGGCTGAACAAACAGATGATTCACATTCCGGATGGGACAAAGCACAAGATTTCATTATGTTATTCAGAATGGTACACAACTTAAAACTTATGAATTATTTGTTTCTGGAATTTTCCATTTAATATCTTAGGAACATGAATGACTATAGCTATAGGTAACTGAAACCATGGAAAGCAAAAGCACAGAAAGGGGAAACTACTATATTAAAAAACTGAAAAGGCATCAAAGAGCTGCTTGGCTATCACAACGGTAGTAGGACATAGATTTTATGCCTGGGATTGAAAAATTAGAGGGAAAAGGGTGGAATATTAAAAATTTGAAATCTTGGAGGTAGGAACCACCGATCTGAAACTCAGACCTTTAAGGAAGAGTCAGCCTGCAGGTACTAGTGTCTCTCAGCTCAGCAGAAGAGATGTATGTGGTTAGTGATCAGATCTGTGATAAGGGCTGGCTAGCTGATGCTGGAATCTGAGAGGGCAAACTCCTGTTCATTTTTTAAGTGGGAAGACAACAAACTCAAATCAAGTGCTCCTACTAGAATTTCCTGACACATTTGGGAGGTAGGAGTGTTGTTAGGGTAACACGGACAAAAACAGGAAGATAATCAAAAGGTAAGTGCCTCTTCCTTGTTTTCTAGCCTTCCATCTCCTTCTAGTTCCCTATGGGCAGAACCTAAAAGGAAATCAATAGGGCAAATCATATATGTGGCTATAGAGTCTCAACCCTAGCATCACAAAGCAGGGCACAAAATCATGGGTTTGAAGCTCTCAGCTTCAAAGAGTAGCAGGCTTAGTCCATTTAGACATTACCACTCCAAAAGGGAGAAATAGGTAAGAAAAGAGGACTAACTTGTCTCAACTAAATTCCAAACCCAACAGAGAAAAAAACATTAAGTCTTAAAGCTAGAGAATAATCTCCTTTGGCTGCATGTCATACTTCCTTAATACACTGGAGTGAGGATTGGGCCCCAATGCCTCAGACAACCCAGCCCCCCATGGCTTTGCTAGGCTCAGGACACATGTTAGCTTTCTTGGGTTGGAGTCACATGTCTGCATCTTCCCAAGCTGGAGTAACTTGCTGGTAGCTCTACAGTTCTGAAGTCTCATGAGTGGTCCTGCTCCCACTCTGCGGCTTCACCAGACATTATTCTAGTGGAGAATCTATGGTGGTTCTGCCCTATGGTAGGTTTCCGCCTGGGTTCTCAAGCTATCTGCCACATCCTTTGAAATCTAGGTGGAGATAAGCATATTCCCACAACTCTTGATGTTGTACACCTGCAGAATTAGCACCTTGTGGGTGCCACCAAGGTTTACAGCTTGTACCTTCTGGAGCAGTAGGTGCAATTGCACCTGGGCCCACTTGAGCTACAGCTGGGGTGGCTGAGGAGTGCTGTGCTGAAATATGTGGAGCAGAGATGTGAGGCAGCTCTGGGAAAAGTTTGTAGAGGGCACCTCAGGGCCATCCGCCAAAATCATTTTGCCTTTCTAGAGCTCTGGGCCTTTGATAGGAGGAGCAGCCTCATAGACAGATATTTGAAATGCCTTTGGGTTCTTTCTTTCACTGTCTTGAGGAATAGCACCTGGCTCCCTCTATCTATGGCAATCTCTTTAATAAATAGTCATTTGCCACTCCCTTGGTTTGATCTCCTAAAGCTGTCTTTGTCCTCTTTACATGGACAGGCTATGAATTCTCCAATTCTTTCCCCTCTGCCTTCTTTTTAATTATAAATTCTGTGTTTAAGTCATTCCATTTCCTTCACGTTTTACTATTTGCAGTTAAAAGTAACCACACAACAGCCTAAAGGCTTTCATGTTTAGATATTTATTCTGTTTATCACTCTCACATTTTTCATTCCACAAAGTCCTAGAACAAGTAAACAATTCAGCCAAGGTCTTTGCTACTTTATAGAATGGGTGGCTTTCTTATTCCTCATTTCCATTAGAGATTTCATCAGAATGGCTATTACTGTCTGTATTTCTACTAATATTCTGGTCACAATCATCTAAGTAATCCTTAAGAAGATTCAGACTTTTCTACATTTGCCTTCTTCTGAGCCTTCACCAGAATTTTCCCCAACACTCTATTCACCACAATATAGGCTTTTTGTTTTTAGCCTTCTCCTCCAAATTCTTCTAGCATTTACTCCTTGTTAGTTCTGAAGGTGCTTTCATTTTCAGGTTTTTTTTTTAAATGGCAACAGTCCTACTTCTTGATACCAATTTTCTTAGTTCATTTTCTGCTGCCATAACAGATTACCACAGACTGGGTAATTTATAAAAAAAGAGATTTATTTGGCTTATGGCTTTGGAGGCTGGGAATTTCAAGAACATGGTGTTGGCATCTGGTGAGGACCTTCTTACTGTGTTATAACATGGCAGAAGGGCAAGAGGGCATGCAAGACAGAGAGAGAAATGAGGTCCAACTTATTCTTTTATCAGGATCCTACTCCCATCATAATTAATCACTCTTCAGTAATGCCATTAATCTATTCATCAGGGCAAAGTCCTCATAACCTAGCCGTCTTTTAAAAGGCCCCACCTCTTAATACTGTTATAATGGCAATTCAGTTTCCAACACATAAACTTTTTGGGGATGCATTCAAACCATAACAGTAGTTTATTCATTAGCTCACCCTTATGGCTTACAATTTTGTAGAATGACTTATGCAAACTATTAAAAGACGTATCACATAATCTCCAGAACACAGAAAATATATGGGAGGGTATTATTGCATCCTGTAAACTCTATTATATAGGAAATATTAACTATGTTCTCTTTAAATAAATTTAAATCCAATATTTAGTTTAATTACAGACATGATTGTGGCTCCTTCTTCCCCCAGGGTTTTGCAAACATCATTTTTTGTGCTACAGCATCCAGAAGGTGTGCACTGGTTACTCCTGAGTAGCCCATTTCCACCTCCTTTTTCAGTGACACCAATATCATTCCTTCAAAGAACTTAGGCCCATACAAAAGGCAAGAAAAAACAGACTTTAGGTGGTGTATTAGCCTGTTTCACCCTGCTGATAATGACATACCCAAGACTGGGTAATTTATAAATAAAAAGAGGTTTAATGGACTTAGAGTTCCACGTGGCTGGGGAAGCCTCACAATCATGGTGAAAGGCAAAAGACACATTTTACATGGTGGCAGGCAAAAGAGAATGAGAGCCAAGCAAAAGGGGAAATCCCTTAAAAAACCATCAGATCTCATGAGACTTATTCACTACCACGAGAACAGTATTTAAGAAATGGTCTCATGATTCAATTATCTCCCATGACATGTGGGAATTATGGTAGCTACAATTCAAGATTTGGGTAGGGGCACAGACAAACCATATCAGGTGGCTTTGCTTTTGGCCCTACAAAAACACCTTGAAGCATGAAAAAAATAAGGAGCTGTCTAACTGCTGGGAAAAAAAATGGGAAAAACAAACAAAAATTAATATTTTAATATACTCTCCTGTCACACAAAACAATGCCAATGGGTTTAGAACAATTTAAGAATATTCAAAGACATGTAATTGAAAAAAAATGGCAAGTGTTCCAATATAACATGTATCAGATTATACCTGCAGTAAGCTATCTTGAGTCTATCAGCCTCTGAAGGATAGGGATTTAATCTAGAATGTTCTTCCTGCTATGCCAGGAGCAAAGAGCATATGAGAGAACTTCCTTCATGATATCAGTTCAGTTGATGTGATTTACCTGTTAAATTGTAAATATTATTGAGAAAAGAAAAAACACTCCCCTTTTGTTTTAATCATCATTATTATTTTCAAGAAGTATGAATCACTAGTTTCACTAAGGGTTGCATTCCCAAACTACAGTATTATTGGTGTCCCTGAAAAGATTCCCAATTATCTGCTGTTTCTCTCAAAGCAGAACAAAGGCAACCTGAAACTCAACTTAATTTCCAGTGCTAGCTTCAAGGTCCTTGGAGATAATGAGGGTGCTATTTGATTTATATATTAAATGTTGTTTGCCGGCATGATTCGTGCTCTTGAGATTCTGGGTTCATTGGAGAGTTTGTGCCAGTGTTAGAGTGTCACCTCAAGAGAGCCTCTGTTTAGGAAGGGCCTTGGGAAAGGAGATTTATGTTCTGCAAAACAGTGCCAAGGACACCTATTACTGGCAGGTGTGAGGACTTCTAGTGGTACTGTGAACACCAACAAATCACTTTCTGAGGGACTTCCTGTGGCTTCATGTCTCTGATATTGCTGCCTCAGTGTTAAATGAGATGTTAAAGCATCTATGCTTTGGGTTTGGTGTCTGCCAGAGATGTGTTTTAGTAACTGTTGCATCCCGAAGATAACTGGAAATAATAATAATAAAAAAGACTCCACCACAGTGCTGGGAAATGGGCCCATATATCATTATCAGAAGCAAAACCACAGTCTGGATGCTTTAGGCCTCTTTTAGCACATCACAAACAAGTAAGAGATCACAGACAAAAGAGGTTGTTCTTTTCTACCTGGTTTTTATATTTTGAACCTTCTCCCCCAAAAAGCATGACAAATCCCAGTGAGAAACAAGAGTACACAATACATCTCTGTGTATTTTGTCACTCACTATATTTTCAACACTACTTCATCTATCACACATTACTTCAAGAGAGACCAAAAAAATGGGCACACGTAAAAAGATACGCTTGGGAAAATAATTCTCTTTAGTTATCCCAACATGACAGAGAACTTAACCAGACTAGTGCCTTGGCATTTGTGTGCAGTTCAAAAGAAAATTAATGGAGCTGCAAGACTTCTCAATTTTGCAAAGAAATTTTACTCAGTCTTTTTGATAGCAAGCAAATGCATGATGATAAGCAACTCTTGAATCCTACCTTCTCATCCCTTTTTCCAATAAAAGAGTAGTGCTCCTTGTAATAAGGTTTCTCCCTCCTGTTATTCCTCAGTGGCACCCAGGAAAAAATAGTAAATTAAAGTGTGTGCCCATGAATCACTAAGATTTTTTCAATCTCTCTGAGGCAGGGAGATTTATGTGATGAAACCAATAGCTTTTTGCCACCTGTCTTACAGTGTACATTGTCTGCACAATAAGATATGTCTTCCTCTCTTCCTCGGTGTTTAGCTAGCCTCTAAAGGTCACAAAAGCTAAATCCAAAAATAATGACATTTAGTAACATCTCTATTGCTGAGAGACCACTACTAGCCAACTATAATGCAATGCATTCATTAATGCAGAGTAGCATTTCTCTTAGTATTTATTATGCTTCTGTGCATAAATTCAAGTCAGTTTATGTTTGTGCTCAAGAATAAGCTATACTGAACTTAAAAAAAGTGAAGGTGTTAATCATCATCATTATTATCACAGGCTAGATTGGACTTCACTGTTGTTTTAGCTTGTATAAAAAAATTGAGAAGAAATTACCCAATAGGTGACTTTGTTTTAATCCCAAGAGCCAACCCCTATGTGTAGATAAAAAATATTTATACCCATGAGAAGTGGATATTGCCTTACATAAAACTCTAAATTGAATTCCCAATAGTGCTGTTAGTCTAGGTGCTCCTTAACCTGTAGGAGCTCAGAAATCCTTCAAACTGAAAATCTGTTTTGGCCATCCCACTGGTTGGAGTCCACTCCCAAAGCATTAAGAACAAAATGGGGAGGTTTCTTTATGTTGTTATTTTTCCCTCATTCTGAAACCAGCAATTTTTCTTGTTCTCTCTGCAACCCAGCCTCTCTAGAGAGACTGAACCCTGGTAGCTAAGTTCTCATAAAGCCTAAAATTAACTGTAATCACCTTTGTATAGTATATTATTTAAAATCCCGTAATGGCAGAATGCAAACAGGAAACCTTCTTCTCTCCTTCCCTCATAAGACCGTAGACCAAGTAAAGCTTATTCCCCATTTCCCTTTCCAATGGGGACTCTTTAATAATAAAATGAAAAGATTTCAGCCTTCCTTTGCTGCAGTAGCTCCCAGGCCTACCTAACTTAATAGCACTGTAAAGCTCTACTAGTTGCACTCCACAGATAACACATTAAAGTGTAGCTCTGGGTGAGAAATAACCTGCCATCAAAGCCTCCCAAGAAAAACACATTCATTAGACATGAAAACAACAAGAGAGAAAAGCTCGTTTTCCCTCAAAGGAAGTGTGAAGTGTTCAAGATTCTGAGATCACACTAAATCCTAGAAAGCCATGAACAACCTTGTATCTTTGATAAAGCTGCTTTGGTGTGAAGGGGTTGAGTACTTAAGGTATTATGTCACATTTAACCCAAATCGCAGGTTATGGTCTCCACTGACTGTTTCTGCTAAAGTTCCAACCCATCAGGTCCCCTGAGGAGAAATGAAAATGATGTTATCTGCTAATGATGTGACTTTCAATCCTGACAGGAGGAAATAGCTAATGCAACAAGCCTTCCTCTCACAAAAGGAAGCCATTTACATAACTCTGAGCTTCTGAAGGAAGACACAAAGTGAGATGAATGAATTTAAAATTTCCTCAACTTGCTGTCAAGAAAGGAGCTGGAAGCAAAGCCAAGGATCTCAGTTTTCATTCCTGTTTATACTTCTGGCTTATTAAAACATCCATGAGCAACCCATTCACTTTGCTTCTCTTGATTTCACGTTTATTAAATCTTAAAACACATGAGGCTCTGGTGTTCCCAAGTCATTCAATCCCTCCAAAAAGTCCATAAAGCCTGATTCTGATCATCATTAAAGCCTCTAAATAGTAAGTAGATTACTCACATATGAAACTGGTGTTTGTGGTTTAGCTAAGCTGGAACTACACTTCTCGGAGCTCCCTTCTCTGTGTGGTTCATGTTAGGATTGGCCACAGGGGACATCTGTATAGGATTAGGAGGTTTGGGTGTACCAGCAGCCGTTATTCCCAGGAGGAGCCTCTAAAGCTCTTACACACTGCTGCTGATTTCATAACCCACCTTGTTGCATTACTCAGCAGAAAATTGGGCCTGCAGCCCTTTGACTCCCACCTAATCTCCTTTCATTTATTTCCAGGCTCATATGCAGCTCTACAGCAAAAGGCCTCAGATCCTCCAGCAATATTCCCCATCATCAAGGCGAGATGTAGGGAGAGGCTAACGTGGGTTCCAGTTTGTCCTTGTGGATTCCATTTGTCCCTGCAGGTTCCTATGTCCCTGGCCTACATCCAGCTTGTCTTCCCCATTGCCTATCCTGTAACCGCAGTGATTACAGCCTGCTCCAGTAGCAGAAGCAAGAGCTTTTCTTAGACTTCTTTCCCTTTGTGGTCCCTGATTAGTTTCTCTGATCATCCAATCATCCCTTCCAGACTTATGCTTCCCCAGGTTTCTTAGAGTATTATAACACCTAATCTCTGCAATAAATCATTTATTTCATGTCTTTTATTTCCTGATCAAAACCATCTCACACTTTCATGAGTCAGGAGTTTAGGAAGAACTCAGCAGGGCATTTCTCCTGGCCTCAGTTGTTGACTGGGTCACTAGGTAGTCCCCAGCTGGTAGCTGGACTATCTTGAGAGTCGAAAGCAGCTTCTGCCATATCTGTGACACCTCGGCAGGGCATCTGAAAGCTGGGCTCTACTCGACGCCTCTACTTCGCATGTAGTCTGTTCCACAGAATATTTGAACTTGTAATAAGGAGATTTTTGGTTTCAAAAGAGCAAGAAACTGCCCAGTCATCTTAAAGACTAGCCTAGAAAGAGCATAACACCATTTCCACTGTATCTCCCTGGTCAAAGAAGTCACAAACCAACCCGGATCAAGGGGACAGGAAAGAGACCCAACCCCTCAATGGGAAGAATATCAAAGAATTTTCAACCATTTCTTATTCTACCACAAAACTAAACCGGCCTCATTGAAGTGTTAGAATTAATTTGGTTAGAATTCTGTCCTTTCCTCATATTTCCTCCTCACCACTTTCACTGCCTTTTTGCTTATTTACTTATCTACTCATTTACAGTTATTTCATGTGATACCTGGGAGGGCCAAATCCTTTCATTTGGCCTCTTCTGCTTCCCAGATGAAACTATAAGCTCTTTGGGAGCAGCACTGGTCTCTCCTATAGCTATCTTCCATTTGTCAGTGTCCCCAAATCTGTAATCTCTGGGAAGTTCAGAAATAGAAAATCTAGTCTATGGGAGGCTTAACAGTCCCAGCTGCTCAAGAACTAGAAGTGAAGTGTAGTGTAATGCTTTACATGTAGTAAATATCCCCTGGTGGCAACTGACTGAGAGAAATGAAGTCAGTAGCCTCTTTCATTCCATCAGTCTCAGGCTCCTTTTATACAAACCAAGAGTGTGGAAATAGATGGTTTTCTCCCTCATTATTTAAGTAACGTCCACCATGAACCTAAGTTTAAAAACAATGAATAAGATTTAAAAAAAGTTTGATTCTGAAATAATTCCAGTCTCATGTATAGGTTTCAAAAAATATCCCCAAGAGCTCCTGTGTACCCTTCACCCAGCTTCTGCAAATAACATTTTATGTAACTATAATAAAATGATCAAAACAAGGAAGTATATTTGACATAATGCTATTAACTAAACAATAGACCTTATTAAGATTTCACAAATTTTTACATAATCTTTCTTTTAATTAATTTAGGGTTTATGAAATATTATCACATGGATACATTCATGTAACTACCACCATAACGAGAAAATAGGACAGAAATTTCTTTACCCCACAGAAATTTCCTCCTGCTAATGCTTTATGGTCACACCCTCACCCACCTCTATCAAAGACAGCCCAGAAAACAATGGTACAATGGGAAGTGGATAATAGCAGTGAACAGGTCCATCTAGAAGAGGGAAGAATGAGAAATACGCCAGAGACATTAATCTGTGGCAATGAAGTAACTATCAGAACAAGCCTTCTGAGGTCCCTTATCTAACAGTAGAACAAGTTCTTTAATTAAATCCTGATTCTGCTATTTGGTAATGTCACAGGAAGCAAGAAGCAAACTGTATCACAGAGATTAATAGCAGGGGGTTTGCAAGAGAATGTTCTTGTGAACATCTGTGAAGAGAAGCCAAAAAAATAGGACTAAGAAGATGGAGAAGTAGGTCTGTGATACAGCCTCAGTGCAAGTTTCAGCTACCCCATGGAGAGCTCCAAACATAAAGATGGAATGTGCCTTTAGTACTATCCTGAGGTGGATTGACAAAACTGGGTCTTTTTGTCCCACAGTGAACAGTCACTAGACCTGAGAGGGCATCATGATGTTGGAGAAGGCAGCTAATACCTGTCAGAGATCAGCACACCTAGTGCTGGGGGTAGCACATTCTAGAATCAGGAATGGAGGTCCAAATGGAGCACCCCAGCGTCCCTCTCAAGACAGGCATTGTCTTTTAGATCCTGAGTTGCTGGACATGAAGCCTCTTTAAACCTAACATATGGCACAGTACAACACCCAGATATTGTAGGCTTTGAGCTGGATGGGGTAACCATTTTAGGCTTATGAGGAGGAGAGTGGTCTATATGTGGGCACAAAGTGCAACAGTATATTTGGAAGCCAGTGGGGTAGACTTTGTCAAGGACAGGTAGCTGTCCACCAGAATTGCATGTCCTCACTTCATGGATGCAGAGTTATCTCTGGAATTTGGCTTTCCAGGCCTCAACTGCATTTCTGACCCTGCCCTCATTCAGCAGTGATATGTTTTGGCTGTTTCCCCACCCAAATCTCATCTTGAATTGTAACTCTCACAATTCCTGCATGTCGTGGGAGAAACCTGGCGGGAGGTGATTGAATTATGGGAAGGCGGGTCTTTCCTGCACTGTTCTCATGATAGTGAATGAGTCTCTTGAGATTTGATGGTTTTAAAAAGGGGAGTTTGCCTGCACAAGCTCTCTTTGCCCGTTGCCATCCATGTGAGACATGACTTACTCCTCCTTGACTTCCACCATGATTGTGAGGCAACCCCAGCCATGTGGAACTGTAAGTCCATTAAACCTCTTTCTTTAATAAATTGCCCAGTCTCAGGTATGTCTTTATCAGCAGTGTGAAAATGGACTATTACAAGCAGTTAACATGGCCCAGTGTCCAAGTGCTGTCCACTGCGATAAAACAGAAGCGGTGAACACTATGTGCACCCAAGACCTATCATGCCTGAAGCAGTGTCCTCCAAACTGTTTTCCCTTAGTCAAGATGCAATGGATTCAATCCCTCAGGGCAACTTGGAAAACTATGTTTCAAAGATAACAGAATCTCACTGAGCATGAGTCCCAGGAAATGGATGAAGGAGTGCCTTTTTCCATCCTGATCACCTGCCAAATACTGTCATGTGAGCAGGAAATGAATTTGAGGCCTTATACTGCTTTGGTGTTTTTTTGTTTGAGCAGCTATCACTATCTGATCTAATACAACCCACATGCTGACATGCACACACAAATAGTTAAAAATATAAAATTAAAAAGATATTACTTATAGTAGCCACAATGATATAATATTTCTTGGTGGAAATCCAACAAAATTTACAAGTTCTTAATGGGGAAAATTATTAAAGTTTATTAGAAGACATTAGTGAAAGCCTAAATGAGAGAGATAAAGAAACAGAGAGGAGGGGCAGTGGGGAGAGAACGGAGGTTTATATCCATGTAGAGGAAGATTCAATAATGTAAAGATGTCACTTTTCCTAAAATTATGATAAAGATTAAATGCAAGCCCTATCAGTTGTCAACCAGGTATTTTATTAAACTTGACAAGTTTATTTTAAACGGACATAGAATAAAAAATGGTCCAAAATAACTGAGACACTCCAGAAAAAGAATAAGGCAGGGAAACTCTCCTTTCTAGATATCATGATTTTCAAAAAAATTATTAGGATTAAGATAACATGGTATTAGCACAGATATAGATAAAACCAGTGCACCAGAATAGAGTCCTGAAGTAGATCCACGCATATATTGAAACATGATGCATGATGAATCAGGGTGGAACGAATAGACAATATTATCAATGGAACTGGGGAAAGAATTTGTCATCCAAAATTAGATTTGACTTTAAGGGGAAAAGCAAAGCTTTTTAAAACTTTTAGGGGAGGAGCCAAGATGGCCAAATAGGAACAGCTCCAGTCTACAGCTCCCAGCATGAGCGGCGCAGAAGATGGGTGATTTCTGCATTTCCAACTAAGGTACCGAGTTCATCTAACTAGGGAGTGACAGACAGTAGGTGCAGGACAGTGGGTGCAGTGCACCGTGCACGAGCTGAAGCAGGGCCATGCATCGCCTCACTCGGGAAGTGCAAGGGGTCAGGGAATTCCCTTTACTAGTCAAAGAAAGCAGTGACAGATAGCACCTAGAAAATCGGGTCACTCCGACCCTAATACGGCACTTTTCCAACAGCCTTAAAAAATGGCACACCAGGAGATTATATCCTGCACATGGCTTGGAGGGTCCTACACCCACAGAGTCTCGCTCATTGCCAGCACAGCAGTCTGAGATCAAACTGCAAGGCAGCAGCGAGGCTGGGGGAGGGGCACCTGCCATTGCCAAGTTAGTTGTTTGATTAGGTAAACAAAGCAGCCGGGAAGCTCGAACTGGGTGGACCCCACCACAGCTCAAGGAGACCGGCCTGCCTCTGTAGGTTCCACCTCTGGGGGCAGGGCACAGACAAACAAAAACACAGCAGTAACCTCTGCAGACTTAAATGTGCCTCTCTAACAGCTTTGAAGAGAGTAGTGGTTCTCCCAGCACGCAGCTTGAGATCTGAGAACGGGCAGACTGCCTCAAGTGGATCCCTGATTCCCAAGTAGCCTAACAGGGAGGCACCCCCCAGTAGGGGCAGACTGACACCTCACACAGCTGGGTACTCCTCTGAGACAAAACTTCCAGAAGAATGATCAGACAGCAGCATCTGCAGTTCACCAATATCTGCTGTTCTGCAGCCACCACTGCTGATACCCAGGCAAACAGCATCTGGAGTGGACCTCTAGCAAACTCCAACAAACCTGCAGCTGAAAGTCCTGTCTGTTAGAAGGAAAACTAACGAACAGAAAGGACATCCACACCAAAAACCAATCTGTACGTCACCATCATCAAAGACCAAAGGTAGATAAAACCACAAAGATGGGAAAAAAACAGAGCAGAAAAACTGGTAACTCTAAAAATCAGAGCGCCTCTCCTCCTCCAAAGGAATGCAGTTTCTCACCAGCAATGGAACAAAGCTGGATGGAGAATGACTTTGACGAGTTGAGAGAAGAAGGCTTCAGAAGATCAAACTACTCCGAGCTACAGGAGGAAATTTGAACCAATGGCAAAGAAGTTAAAAGCTTTGAAAAAAAATTAGATGAATGGATAACTAGAATAACGAATGCAGAGAAGTCCTTAAAGGACCTGATGGAGCTGAAAACCAAGGCATGAGAGCTATGTGATGAATGCAGAAGCCTCAGTAGCTGATGCTATCAACTGGAAGAAAGGGTATCAGTGATGGAAGATGAAATGAATGAAATGAAGTGAGAAGAGACGTTTAGAGAAAAAAGAATAAAAAGAAATGAACAAAGCCTCCAAGAAATATGGGACTATGTGAAAAGACCAAATCTACGTCTGATTGGTGTACCTGAAAGTGACGGGGAGAATGGAATCAAGTTGGAAAACACTCTGCAGGATATTATCCAGGAGAACTTCTCCAATCTAGCAAGGCAGGTCAGCATTCAGATTCAGGAAATACAGAGAACACCACAAAGATACTCCTCGAGAAAAGCAACTCCAAGACACATAATTGTCAGATTCACCAAAGTTGAAATGAAGGAAAAAATGTTGAGGGCAGCCAGAGAGAAAGGTCGGGTTACCCACAAAGGGAAGCCCATCAGACTAACAGCGGATCTCTCGACAGAAACCCTACAAGCCAGAAGAGAGTGGGGGCCAATATTCAACATTCTTAAAGAAAAGAATTTTCAAACCAGAATTTCATATCCAGCCAAACTAAGCTTCATAAGTGAAGGAGAAATAAAATACTTTACAGACAAGCAAATGCTGAGAGATTGTCTCACCACCAGGCCTGCCCTAAAAGAGCTCCTGAAGGAAGCGCTAAACATGGAAAGGAACAACCGGTACCAGCCACAGCAAAATCATGCCAAATTGTAAAGACCACCAAGGCTAGGAAGAAACTGCATCAACTAATGAGCAAAATAACCAGCTAACATCATAATGACAGGATCAAATTCACACATAACAATATTAACTTTAAATGTAAATGGACTAAATGCTCCAATTAAAAGACACAGACTGGCAAATTGGATAAAGAGTCAAGACCCATCAGTGTGCTGTATTCAGGAAACCCATCTCATGTGCGGAGACACACATAGGCTAAACATAAAAGGATGGAGGAAGATCTACCAAGCAAATGGAAAACAAAAAAAGTCAGGGGCTGCAATCCTAGTCTCCGATAAAACAGACTTTAAACCAACAAAGATCAAAAGAGACAAAGAAGGCCATTACATAATGGTAAAGGGATCAATTCTACAAGAAGAGCTAACTATCCTAAATATATATGCACCCAATACAGGAGCACCCAGATTCATAAAGCAAGTCCTTAGTGACCTACAAAGAGACTTAGACTCCCACACAATAATAATGGGAGACTTTAACACCTCACTGTCAACATTAGACAGATCAATGAGACAGAAAGTTAACAAGGATACCCAGGAATTGAACACAGCTCTGCACCAAGGGACCTAATAGACATCTACAGAACTCTCCACCCCAAATCAACAGAATATACATTCTTTTCAGCACCACACCACACCTACTCCACAACTGACCACATAGCTGGAAGTAAAGCACTCCTCAAAATGTAAAAGAACAGAAATTATAACAAACTATCTCTCAGACCACAGTGCAATGAAACTAGAAATCAGGATTAAGAATCTCACTCAAAACCGCTCAACTACATGGAAACTGAACAACCTGCTCCTGAATGACTACTGGGTAAATAATGAAATGAAGGCAGAAATAAAGATGTTCTTTGAAGCCAACGAGAACAAAGACACAACATACCAGAATCTCTGGGACTCATTCAAAGCAGTGTGTAGAGGGAAATTTATAGCACTAAATGCCCACAAAAGAAAGCAGGAAAGATCCAAAATTGACACCCTAACATCACAATTAAAAGAGCTAGAAAAGCAAGAGCAAACACATTCAAAAGCTAGCAGAAGGCAAGAAATAACTAAGATCAGAGCAGAACTGAAGGAAATAGAGACACAAAAAACCCTTCAAAAGATTAATGAATCCAGGAACTGGTTTTTTGAAAAGATCAACAAAATTGATAGACCACTAACAAGACTAATAAAGAAAAGAGAGAAGAATCAAATAGACCCAATAAACAATGATAAAGGGGATATCACCACTGAACCCACAGAAATAAAAACTACCATCAGAGAATACTATAAACACCTCTACGCAAATAAACTAGAAAATCTAGAAGAAATGGATAAATTCCTCGACACACACATCCTCCCAAGACTAAACCAGGAAGAAGTTGAATCTCTGAATAGACCAATAACAGGGTCTGAAATTGAGGCAATAATTAATAGCTTACCAACCAAAGTCCAGGACCAGATGGATTCACAGCCGAATTCTACCAGAGGTACAAAGAGGAGCTGGTACCATTCTTTCTGAAACTATTCCAATCAACAGAAAAAGGGGGAATCCTCCCTAACTCATTTTATGAGGCCAGCATCATCCTGATACCAAAGCCGGGCAGGGCACAACAAAAAAAGAGAATTTTAGACCAATATCTTTGATGAACATCGATGCAAAAATCCTCAGTAAAATACTGGCAAATCGAATCCAGCAGCACATCAAAAAGCTTATCCACCATGATCAAGTGGGCTTCATCCCTGGAATGCAAGGCTGGTTCAACATATTCAAATCAATAAACATAATCCAGCATATAAACAGAACCAAAGACAAAAACCACATGATTATCTCAATAGATGCAGAAAAGGCCTTGACAAAATTCAACAACCCTTCATGCTAAAAACTTTCAATAAATTAGGTATTGATGGGACGTATTTCAAAAATAACAAGAGCTATCTATGACAAACCCACAGCCAATATCATACTGAATGGGCAAAAACTGGAAGCATTCCCTTTGAAAACTGGCACAAGACAGGGAGGCCCTCTCTCACCACTCCTGTTCAACATAGTGTTGGAAGTTCTGGCCAGGGAAATCAGGCAGAAGAAGGAAATAAAAGTATTCAGTTAGGAAATGAGGAAGTCAAATTGTCCCTGTTTGCAGATGACATGACTGTGTATCTAGAAAACTCCATCGTCTCAGCCCAAAATCTCCTCAAGCTGATAAGCAACTTCAGCAAAGTCTCAGGATACAAAATCAATGTGCAAATATCACAAGCATTCGTATACACCAATAACAGACAAACAGAGAGCCAAATCATGAGTGAACTCCCATTCACAATTGCTTCAAAGAGAATAACATACCTAGGAATCCAACTTACAAGGGACGTGAAGGACCTCTTCAAGGAGAACTACAAACCACTGCTCAATGAAATAAAAGGATATAAACAAATGGAAGAACATTCCATGCTCACGGATAGGAAGATCAATATCGTGAAAATGGCCATACTGCCCAAGGTAATTTATAGATTCAATGCCATCCCCATCAAGCTACCAATGACTTTCTTCACAGAATTGGAAAAAACTACTTTAAAGTTCATATGGAACCAAAAAAGAGCCCGCATTGCCAAGTGAATCCTCAGCCAAAAGAACAAAGCTGGAGGCATCACGCTACCTGACTTCAAACTATACTACAAGGCTACAGTAACCAAAACAGCAGGGTACTGGTACCAAAACAGAGATATAGATCAATGGAACAGAACAGAGCCCTCAGAAATAATGCCGCATATCTACAACTATCTGATCTTTGACAAACCTGACAAAAACAAGCAATGGGGAAAGGATTCCCTATTTAATAAATGGTGCTGGGAAAACTGGCTAGCCATATGTAGAAAGCTGAAACTGGATCCCTTCCTTACACCTTACACAAAAATTAAATCAAGATGGATTAAAGACTTACATGTTAGACCTGAAACCATAAAAACCCTAGAAGAAAACGTAGGCAATACCATTCAGGATATAGGCATGGGCAAGGACTTTGTGTCTAAAACACCAAAAACAATGGCAACAAAAGACAAAATTGACAAATGGGATCTAATTAAACTAAAGAGCTTCTGCACAGCAAAAGATACTACCATCAGAGTGAACAGGCAACCTACAAAATGGGAGAAACCTACTCATCTGACAAACGGCTAATATCCAGAATCTACAATGAACTCAGACAAATTTACAAGAAAAAAACAAACAACCCCATCAAGAAGTGGGTGAAGGATATGAACAGACACTTCTCAAAAGAAGACATTTATGCAGCCAAAAAACACATGAAAAAATGTTCATCATCACTGGCCATCAGAGAAATGCAAATCAAAACCACAATGAGATACCATCTCACACCAGTTAGAATGGTGATCATTAAAAAGTCAGGAAACAACAGGTGCTGGAGAAGATGTGGAGAAATAGGAACACTTTTACACTGTTGGTGGGACTGTAAACTAGTTCAACCATTGTGGAAGACAGTGTGGCGATTCCTCAGGGATCTAGAACTAGAAATACCATTTGACCCAGCCATCCCATTCCTGGGTATAAACCCAAAGGATTATAAATGATGCTGCTATAAAGACACATGCACATGTATGTTTGTAGCGGCACTATTCACAATAGCAAAGACTTGGAACCAACCTAAATGTCCAACAACAATAGACTGGATTAAGAAAATGTGGCACATATACACCATGGAATACTATGCAGCCATAAAAAAGGATGAGTTCATGTCCTTTGTAGGGAGATGGATGAAACTGGAAACCATCATTCTCAGCAAACTATCGCAAGGACAAAAAACCAAACACCGCATGTTCTCACTCATAGGTGGGAATTGAACAATGAGGACACATGGACACAGGAAGGGGAACATCACACTCTGGGGACTGTTGTGGGGTATGGGGAGGGGGGAGGGATAGCATTAGGAGATATACCTAATGCTAAATGAGGAGTTAATGGGTGCAGCACACCAGCATGGCACATGTATACATATGTTACTAACCTGCACATTGTGCACATGTACCCTAAAACTTAAAGTATAATAATAATAAATAAATAAATAAATAAATAAATAAATAAATAAAAGACAACTAGGAAATACACGTCATAATGTTCATGCTTCTAATAGTTAAATGCTTTCAATAGTGACAAACTTATGGGAACATCCTTAAGTGTCTGTAGGCAGAGAATGGATGAATTGTGGTATATCATACAATGATATGCCAGTCTGAAGTGAAAATAAATGTGCTGTAGCTATAGGTCTCAATATGGATGAATCTCAGACACAAAATGTTGAGTAGAAAGCAAGATTTAGAAGAATACATAAATATCTTATAGTTTACATAAATTTCAAAGCATTCTTTTTTAAATATATATTTAAATGTATTACAGCCATTCCTCAGTATCCCCAAGGTATTGGTTCCGGGACACTGCCCACCCCCCCCATACCCAAATGCACAGATACTGAAGTTCCTCTATAAATTATCTCTACATTATTTATAATGCTTCAAATACAAGGCAAATGCCATGTAAATAATTGTTATATTTTTATTCTTTCATTGTTACTTTTTATTATTTAAAAAATGTATATTTTTTATCTAGAGTTGGTTGAATTTGTAGATGCAGGACCTACAGATATAGAGGGCCAACAATAAAACCGTAACAAAAAGCGAGTCAATACTAAACCTGAAAACCAGAATAGCAGTTAGCCCCCAAGGCATCTGTGGGGGCATATAGGAAGGACACCTAACTCATTCTGGGAAGCTAAGGGTGAAAACGACCAGGAAACAATTCCTGAAGAACATGACAGCTGAGGTGAGTTTGTAAGAAATAAGATGTGTGCAAGCAAAGGTTGGGCGGGAAAAGGAGAGGAGGGAGAAGAAACGGCAAGGAGGTGAGAGAGATGTAAGAGAACATTCAGAATAGTGCTGGGAGTTACACCTGGCTGTAGTGAGAGATGAGTGCAGCAGTTTGCTGGTAAACGTTTAATGACTGAGTCTTCAGGGAGGAAAATGTGCGTACACACAATATAAATGTATATATTGACGTAATATATAAAAACATATAAATGTAACCTTATTGTAAATTTTACTGACATGAATGATGTGTAGCTCATTGATACGGTTTGGATCTGTGTCCATGCCCAGATCTCGTGTAGAATTGTAATCCCCAGTGTTGGAGGTGGGGCCTGGTGGGCGGTGATTGGATCATGGAGGTGGTTTCTAATGGTTTAGCACCATCCCCTTCATGCTGACTTGTGATAGAGTTCCCACAAGATCTGGTTGTTTAAAAGTGTGGCACCTCCCCTGATTCTCTCTTCCTTCATCTCCAGTCATGTAAAAAGTACCTGCTTTCCGTTTGCCTTCTGCCATGATTGAAAGTTTCCTGAGGCTTCCTCAGCCATGCTTCCTGTTGGTGGCAGATCCATGAGCCAATTAAACCTCTTTTCTTTATAATTACCCGGTCTCAGGTATTTCTTTATACCAGTGCGACAGCAGATTGATAGCCCCTTATTTACAAATATTAATGAAATATACAGTACTCTTTATTGTAAGTCCCATATAGCCAACTAATTCTCTAAAAAAAAAAATGTTTTTGTTGATTTTTACCAAACTCTTCTATCTTTGATCAACCTATAGTTTCAAATCAACTACAATTTGACAATTGGTGTTACATCTCAATCCACTAACTTTTCCTAATAATTTATTGTCATTACATCTGTTTCTTATAATAAGCTTTTTTTGTTTTTTTTGAGACGGAGTCTCGCTCTGTCTCCCAGGCTGGAGTGCGGTGGCGCGATCTCGGCTCACTGCAAGCTCCGCCTCCCAGGTTCAAGTCATTCTCCTGCCTCAGCCTCCCGAGTACCTGGGACTACAGGTGCCCACCACCACGCCTGGCTTTGTTTTTGCATTTTTAGTAGAGACGGGGTTTCCCCATGTTAGCCAGGATGGTCTCGATCTCCTGACCTCCTGATCCTCCCGCCTCGGCCTCCCAAAGTTCTGGGATTACAGGCATGAACCACTGCGCCCGGCCCAATAAACCTATTTTTTAAGCAGCTTTATTAAAAGGTAATTTGTATACAAATAGCTGCACATATCTAATGTACAATTTGATGAGTTTGGACATAGGCCAACAGTTATGATAACATCTTCACAATCAAAGGAATAGACGATATCCAACACCTCACAAAGTTTCCTTGGGTACTTTGTTTTTGTTTTTGGTTCCAGTTTTGGTTTTGGTTTTGTTTGGGTTTTGGTGTTGGTTTTGGGAGTTTTTTTGTAAGAATGCTTAATATGAGATGTGCCTGGTTTAAGTGTACAATATCGCATTATTAACAATAACCACTATGCTGTACAGCAGATCTCTAGAACTTACTCATATTGTGTAACTAAAACTTTATACCTTTTGAACAATTCCCCATTTCCCACCTCCCCAGTCTGCTGTCAACCACTATTATATTCTCTACTTCTGTGAGTTTGACTGTTATATACATACTTCTTATAAGTAGACTTATGCAGTATTTGTCCTTCTCTAAATGGATTATTTCACTTACAAAAATGTCCTTCAGTTTCATCCATGTTATCACACATAGCAGGATTTTATTCTCCTTTAGGGCTTAATAATATTCCATTGAATGGATATGCCACATTTTCTTAATCCATTTATCTGTTAATAGACACGTAAGTTGTTTTCATATCTTGGCTATTGTGAATAATGCTGCAATGAACATGAGAGTACAGATAACTCCTTAAGATCCTGATTTCGATTCTTTGGATATATACCCAGAAGTGGGATTGCTGGGTCATTTGGTAGCTCTATTTGTAATATTTTGAAGAATCTGTATGATCTAGTTTTAAATTATGTCTCACCCTAATACAAATTATGTTCATTAACTCAAAGCCTCCTTCAGCTTCTGTACTACCACATTTCAGAACTCCACGCTTTCCTCAACTATGTGAACACTTTGCTGAATTGGGTAATAGTTTGACTACTGAAAGAATGTTTAAGTTTAGTGCTATCTAGTACGTAATGGTATGTAATGACTATAGATACAAAACTTTTAAATTTAATCTGAATTATCATTATTTTCTCAATCACTTTCTTAAATTCAAACAATCAACAAAACAGTAAATCAAGCCCGATTTGTAGTATTTGCCTATTGCCAGAGTGTGCATACTCCCACCATGACTGATT
This sequence comes from Homo sapiens, assembly GCF_000001405.40. Taxonomy (NCBI): domain Eukaryota; kingdom Metazoa; phylum Chordata; class Mammalia; order Primates; family Hominidae; genus Homo; species Homo sapiens. The sequence continues at coordinate 110,275,527 of NC_000005.10, read as the reverse complement.
TCAAGCTAGCAACGTAAAGCCAATGAATGCAAATTTGGGGAGAGTAGTACAGTAGCATGCTGTTATGTAGGATTTCCTCCACACAGACACATCAGATATAGCCTCAAGAGCATAGTTAAGAAAAAGTATAGTAAAATAATTTAAAAGTAATGCATTTTCAATATTTGTCTTGTCTTTAATTTTAAAATAGCAAGTGATTTTTAAATAGGTTTTAAATAATAGATGTATAAATTTTTAATAATGGCTGTGTTTAACAACTGGCTTTCAAAATTCCTGGAAATTTGACAGTTGGCTTTTGTGAACTGGCACTGGTCCTCTCCAGCCCTCCACTTGGTGGATGGGCTTAGTGACAGCAAATGGGCTGGAAAGAAGCAGACACAGGATACACGTGGCAGGGCTTGCTGGTGCCACCTGGGAAAACAGATGTACCACAGTTTCCTTGCATTTGGATGTGGCCTTTTGCACCAAGTTTTGACAAATGGAATAGAAGTAGAAGTGATACACACCACTTCGAGGCTGGGCCAGGGACCTCACACACCCACTTCTCTTCCACATGAGATCAGACCTCTCTTTCCCCATTTGCCATCAGAATGAGAAGACAGAGAAGACATTCCCAGAAGACAGGGGCATGAAAAGCAGGAACCTGACTCCTTAGTAATTGTGTAGAACAGAATCCCCTCCACCTACGGGCTTGTTTACATACTGGCCAGAACAAGTCTGAGAGGAACAAGACAAAAATTTCACTTTATTAAGTTACTGAGATTTCCAGGCTTATCTATGATAGCACCTGCTGTGTTTTTATCTCAACAAATACAAAATCAACTCAGGGTTTTATTTTGCTGTGCAATAGGATTCTCACCTGTGATTTGTGTCTGTCTTCTATCTTTTCTTCAGGCTTAAGCTACACTTTGGATTCTGGATTAAAGGCCTGGGGCAAGAAAACTGAATCCTGAAAAGACCCCCACAGAGAGGGAATTATATTGGAAAGGAAAATCTAGCTGTGTATGATAGCCTCCTATGACAAACAGCTTTCAAGCTTGGGAGTATAAAATTCTTTGGGGCCATCAGAGAAGTGAGTGGGATATCATAGATACCTCAGGAAGGGAAGCATGTCCTCCAAAAATAACCTATCAAATTTGGATATTTGAACAGTAATGCTAAAGGAAGTGGCAAGTAAAATGTAATAGTCCATTCTCACACTGCTATTAGCCAGGCATGGTAGCCAGTGCCTGTAATTCCAGCTACTCAGGAGGCTTGAGGCAGGAGAATTTCTTCAACCCAGGAGGTGGAGGTTGCACTGAGCCAAGATCACACCACTGCACTTCAGCCTGGGCGACAGAGCCAGGCTCTGTCTTGGGGGGGAAAAAAAAGAAAAGAAGAAAAAAATGAAGAAGGAGAAGAAGAAAAACCTAGGACAGGATAATTTATAAAGGAAAGAAGTTTAATTGACTCACAGTTCCACATTGCTTGGGAGGCCTCAGGAAACTTTCAATCATGGCCGAAGGCAAAGCCATCAAATCTCATGAGACTCACTATCATAATAGCATGGGGGAAATTGCCCCCATGATCCAATTACCTCCACCTGGTCCCACCCTTGTCACGTAGGAATTATGGGGATTAAATTCAAGATGAGATGTTGGGTGGGGACACAGACAAACCATGTCATAAGACCAGGATGGAGAAATTAATTTTTAGAAAATCAGACCTCCCCAAGAATACATGGATCCCACGAGACAGCCAGCCCTACAGCACAGCCTGTGTGTATTGGTTCAAGTTAAGATATTTCCTCCTCCCTTACCACCCCAAATGGGTGTAGGTTAGTCACCTGATCTTTGAGTGACGCGTGCAGCATTATTCTTCTCTGTTTGAGGTGTCCTTATTTCCTGTTTATCTTTATTGGGAATTCTTCCACAAAACTTTAACAATATTATCTTTCACAGTCTGGGGTCTCTTCTTTATTTTTCTCTTTTAGTGGGATATTTTTAAATGCCTCCTGGCTTGAGTTCTTTCTCTGTATTTGCTGACCCTCTGCTGAGTGAAAAGATACACACAGTCTCTCCTGAGTCTCACCTTGTTATTGATCCCAAAACACAAACAGGCAGACATGTCATTCTCTTATCTTCTATTGTGGTGTCAGGCCCTCCAAAGTGGTGTCAGGCTCTTTACTCCCAACAATTTTTCTGTTTTCTCCAAGGTCCTCCTTTTATTTTTTTTTTTATTTTTTTATTTTTTTTAGTTTTTAAGACATAGGTCCTTTGAAAGTGATCAGAAATTGAAATTAGCTCACAGAAATTTTTATGATATATTCGGATCCCAAATAAACTTAGAGATATGAAATATTTAAAGTGCTTCATTCAAATCATAAAGCTCTATTCATAGATACATCAAAATGCTAAATAAATGCCTGACCCTATAACAAATTGCTCAGCAAAAATTATTATAATCAGTCAACATAATCAAGTCCAGCAGGGTATCTTCTCAAAGTTTGCTATCAGGTTTTCTATTTTCAATATTTTTCACTCTCAAAGCATTTGTGCTTTTTTATCTATATTGAAGTTTCCAACAAAACTTGGAAAGCTCATCATTCAATATTATAGAAAAATATAGAGATTTTAACATACAAGACCCAGCTGTTGTTGTTTTTAGACCCAATTTTCTGTGGATTTTTAAAAAGGAAGAACTATAAAGATTATAGTTCTATTGTTTAGAGGTGATTAGGACATGGGGACTTTCCCCATTTGAATGGATTTATGCCATTATCATAGGAATAAGTTCATTATCACAGCAGTTGGTTTTTTATAAAAGGATAAGTTCAGTTTTCTTTCTCTCACTCTCTTCCTTATTCCCTCTCTTGCTCTTCCACCATGTGATGCCTTCCACCATGCTATGGGCAAGGCAGCAAGAAGGCCTTTGCCAGACGTCAGCACCGTGATTGTGAACTTCCCAGCCTCCAGAATTGTGAGAAATAAGTTTCTGTTTACTTATAAATTACCCAGTCTCAAGTATTCTTTTATAGGAGCACAAAACAGACTAAGACAACAGTTGAAATTGGCTTTTGAAAGTTAATTCAAATCAATAAATCCTGCTAAAAATATTCCAGTGGCTTTATTTTACTACAAAACAAAAATGAAACCAAAACCCCTTTTTGTGATGATCTATAGGGGTCCATAAAGTATAACCCTGTCAACCTCTGAGCTTCTCTTCCTCCAAACCCTATCATTCACAAAATAATACCTTGGATTGGGTAATTTATAAAGGAAAGAGGTCCTTTATAAATGGCCTTCTTGCACCTAGAATATGTCAAACTCATATTTGTCTCAGGACATCTGTACCTGCTGTCTCTTCTGCTTTGGATAATCAATCTTTTTTTTTTTTTTTTTTTTGAGACAGAGTTTCACTCTTGTTGCCCAGGCTGGAGTGCAATTGTGCAATCTCGGCTCACCACAGCCTCCACCTCCTGTGTTCAAGAGATTCTCCTGTCTTAGCTTCCCAAGTAGCTGGGATTACAGGTTCCTTCCACTACGCCGGCTGATTGTTTTGTATTTTTAGTAGAGATGGGGTTTCACCATGTTGACGAGGCTGGCCTTGAACTCCTGACCGTAGATGATCCACCCACCTCGGCCTCCCAAAGTGTTGGGATTACAGGCATGAGCCACCACACCCATCTTTATTAGGTCATTCTTATGACTGTTTCCTCACGTAGCCCTTACTTAAAAAAATCATCTTCCAAACAGTTAGAAAAAATGAAAAAGACCTAGTATTTGACAGCACAACAGCATGACTATAGTCAACAATAACTTAATTATACATGTTAAAATTACTAAAAGACTGTAGTTGGATTATTTGTATTACAAAGATAAATGCTTGAGGGGATGGATACATTCTCCGTGATGTGATTATTATGCATTACATGCCTGTATCAAAACATCCCATGTACCCCATTAATATATATACCTGTTATGTACCCACAAAATTAAAAAATTAAAAAATATATATGTAAAATCACCTTCCCAAAAGTTCTGACTCCATCACCCTGTCTAAAGCGTTCATCCCTATTACCAATTATCAATCATAATTCTATAACTGATGTTTATAAATACCTAAGTTTGTTTTACTCTGATCTTTTCTTTGCCCCCAGACTAGAAGCTAAAAATAAATCAAGAGCTATGGGGATATGTTATGGAGGTGAAGTGAGAACCTGCAGGAGAATAGAACCGATATGAAGAAGAGAGAGTTGACATATAGAGAGGGAGAAACCAGGTCTAAGTGACATCCTTTGCTCCTGACATAAACAGCAGCAGAAGCCACGGTATTTTTGCTTTGCTCAGTTAAGTGACGTATTCTCTCTTAAGTCAGTTTAAATTGGGTTTTCTTGCACTTGAGTTAACAGATAATATAGACTCCATAATACCAAGGAAAAATTAGTAGTAGCATCATTTAAAACAAAACAAAAAAAGCACAGGGTGCTCCTTAGGGAAATAGTTTTAAGTGTCTTAAAGGAAGCATATCAGCACAAAGAAGACAAAGCAAATAAGACTTAAACATAGGTAGGTTAAACAAAAATTTTTATACAGTATTTTGGCACAAATTACAAATGGCAATGTGCAGTGCTCTCCTCTGAAGGTACTTTGAAGAGTATGTCCAGTGTCTAAACTGAGTGCACTGGCATCCAATCTGTTGGTAGAAGGAAAACCTGAGTGACCTCTGTGATACATGCAAGATATGGAAAGCATCTGTTCTAGTTGTCTATTAAAGTTGTCTATTAAAAGGCGGGCATTTTAAGGGATTAATGCAATGTAAGTAACAAGGGACATCAGACTAAGTAAGAACACATACTTGGAGTATGAGAGTTAAAAAAAAAAACAAAGTGAGAGGGCAGTATTCTTTTTATTTGGGATGGTGGTAACTAGTCTAATGTCCCTGCAGGCTGTACGTTCAGAGTCGTTTTCTGTCATAAATAATCTCAAAATTTCTAACACCTGATGTCTGGAACCAAATGTCATTTAAACCATGCCCATTTCAATAACCAATTTAATAATTATTACAACAACAATAGCGACTCAACATTTTGGAGCAGTCTCTAAATGTCAGGTGCTGTTCTGTGTAGCATCTCATTTAATCCATCAACAATACAATTGCTATTAATTTCTACATTTTATAAATGAAGTAACTTAAGCAGAGAGAACATTTATTCTCCTGATGAATGGAATGTCAGAACCTCAAGAAAAGTAACTGAGGTCAGATGCATAAACTTAAAAAGTACAAAACAAGTTGAAGAATTTAAGAGCCAAAAAGTTTGGTCCTTACCTAAATTTAGGTCTGACGACTTTTTGGACCTCAGCTCTTGGGAATGTTTTCCTGGAGTTTAATACTTATTATGTTTAATACTTAATAATACTATGCACAAACCAGATAAAATCAGAAACACTGTCATTTTTCATGCACTGGAAAGTGGCAATTTGCATTCAGCACAGAGCAAAAACTCTCAATGTCAGAGAAGAGTCTGTTGAAGCTGGGGCACTTAAGGAGATCAAATGGCAAAGAATTCAATGAAGCCAAATTGTGTATGACAGAAGAAATGACAATGTGCCAGTCAGGAAATAAAAATAGATGTCCAAAGAACTTAACGCACGCAAGGATTTTTTTTTTCCCTGTGAATGAAGTCCCTTTGAAGAGCTTCTGAAAAAATGAAAGTTATTTGTTGAGCTGAGATTGTAGATGAGCAAAAAGTTCAAAATACTTTCAACCTGGCATGATTTGGCTTTAAAGAATAGCAGTTTCATTATGAAGGAGAGATGATGTAACTACAAGCATGAATTGTACCATGAACCAACCGACTTAAAAGTTAAGAAAAAACATTTAATTGCAAACATGCTTGCTAGCTTCCTCTATGATGAGGAGAAAGCCCCTCCCTTTTTTTCAAACTTTTCACACTCCCTCATGTGCCTGACTTACTTTCTAACAACTAAATAATTCTTCACTGGCAAATCTGCACTTAAGAATAAAATCATGGGTGAGCACACTGGGGGAGCAGATTTTGAGGACCAGTAACAAAGAAGAGAGACCCCAGGGGGTATACTCAATCAGAGTTATCTTCCGAATGGAATGATAACTCAGGGAGATAACTCAGTCTATGCCTCTTGGGACTTAGTCTATGTCATATATATGCTGTAGTTCCAGTTTATAAAAAGAGGTAGTGGGAAACACAGTTTGACTGAAAATATTTGATTTTTAAGGAATATTTTCAAAATAAAACAGAAAATAACAGTCTCTCTGAGGTGGCTGGTGGCCACCCCACCTGCTCTGGAGAAAAGGTATGAGACTTCCTGAGGTCTCTCTTCACTTCTGCTTCTGAGATTCAAAGCTGTTTGAGTTTCCAGAATACCTCTCCACTGAGACATGAACTCGTAATCTTAAGGTCCCAGGAAGCCAAACAGGGTTTCTTTTCCTCATTCTGACAGATAAGGTTGTAGGGGTCTGCAGAATCCAGGGGTTTATACAAAGGCCTCAGCTGAAAAGACAGACAGCAATGGCAGCCTGGAGCTGGGACAGATGGAATCCTGAGTACTGTGGTTCTCAGCTTGAGGTTTCAGTAACACAAGACTGATCTTTTTAGTGGTGGCTTTTAATTCCTCTTTTCTTGTATTTTCCATTTATTCTGATGAACAGTAATAGCTATCTATGAAATATCATATAACAAGTACAGTAAATCCATTTGAAATCCTGTGACATGATTCCAATCTGCCTGCCACCCTTTCTGCTGGCTTCTGCTAACACACCTGGTGAAACTCAGAAGGTACAGCTGGAATCCTTCTTTGAGTCTTTTTAAAGCATCAATTGGAGGCTGAAACTCAAAGCAATATGACCCCTGCATAACATAAAACCTAAAATTTCCCCAAGGCTCTTCTGTGAATTAAATGGCCAAGTTTCAGATACACACACATGGCATTTGAATGAGGTTCAGGGCAGCTGGTCAGAAAAAGGAATTGAACAAAAGAAGGCCAAACTTAAGCTTAGTAAAAGAGCAGGGAATCCAACAACAAAAGCAGGCAGACAATGACACTGTGGCCATGCAGACCTTCCCAGGCCTCTAAGGGAGCCAGGGCTCCTGAGGTTATGGCAACAGTAAAACTAAATAGGGAGTGTCAAAGCACCATTTTGGCCTCCCAGACATGTCATATTATAGCTGCCACCTTTTATTTTTTGCTGTTGTTGTTTAGTTTTTTGTTTGTTTGTTTGTTTTTGAGACGGAGTCTCGCTCTTGTCACTCAGGCTGGAGTGCAGTGGTGTGATCTTGGCTAACTAGTAACCTCTGCCTCGCAGGTTGAAGCAATTCTCCTGCCTCAGCCTCCTGAGTAGCTGGGATTACAGGTGCCTGCCACCACGCCCAGCTAATTTTTGTACTTTTTAAATAGAGACGGGGTTTCGCTATGTTGGCGAGGCTGGTCTCAAACTCCTGACCTCAGGTGATCTGCCGGTGTCGAACTCCTGACCTCAGGGGATCTGCCTGCCTCGCCCTCCCAAAGTGCTGGGATTACAGGCATGAGCCACTGGTGGCCTATAGCTGCCACCTTTTCTAAAGATACCTTGAAACTGTCTGATCCAATTTGAATCCAATGTCCTTCTAGTGGTGCTTTTTGGGATTGCTCATGTAACTCTATCTTTTGAACGTGCCCTGGAATTAGGACAGGAACACTACCCGGCCTCCTGTTCCTCTCAATTAGCAAAATAGCAGCCTAGACAGACTTCTATAGCTCTAGAACCTGTAAGGCTCCGTAACACTTAAGTCACCATTTTCCATGAGGGTTTATTATGTATCTAGGACTGCATAAGTTACTGCCACTAAAAACATCAGAGTACATCACACAATCCCTATAATTCACAATCTTTTTTGTACGTAAGATTTACAAACCTGAAATGATGCTATGACAACACAATATTGTCCTGAAAGCCAACATAGTGTTAATTATGTTATGTGATAAATAGAATTAGTCTCATATCCCCTCCCAGAATATAAGGTCCCAGAGTTCAAGGCCATGTCTTCTGTGTCCCCTATAGCACTTAGCATGATGCTGAGCACAGCAGGTACAGAATGAATAATGGATGGTTTAAAGGATTAATCAATTGGGAACCTGAAACACCTGCTTTTTTTAGTAGGTTAGGCCCCCTGGTAGCACTAGAGATGGAGACAGGTGGAGAATGCCACAAGCTTGTACCAAATCTTCATTTTGGGTTACAGAGCAAAGTTTATCTTATTTTTGCCCTTCTATTTTGAAGTCTGTGAATGATTTCCCCTCATTACTGGGTGTTGTCTGCTATTCAAGTTCTAGCAGAGAGTTACTCAACAAGGTTCCTGGCCCACCCCAACCAGCATCTGGCCCCTGTCACATGTATTCTCCTGTTGGATTCATCTAGAGGTAGGACAGACACTAAAGCACCTTCTAGCACGATACTGTATTAGATGGCATCACACATGCATATGCATATGTACATGCTCACACACAGACACACACGCAACTCAAAGAAAGCACAAAACAATTGCAGAAAACAGAACAACTATCTCAGGAAGAGTTTGTCATTTTTCTTCAGGAGGCAAGAATGGAGGGAGGGCATAATTTCTCTTTCAAAACTATTAGAAGAAAGCTGGGAGGCCGAGGTGGGCGGATCATGAGGTGAGGAGATCGAGACCATCCTGGCTAACACAGTGAGACCCCGTTTTTACCAAAACTACAAAAAAAATTAGCCAGGCTTGGTGGTGGGCAACTGTAGTCCCAGCTACTCTGAAGGCTGAGGCAGGAGAATGGCGTGAACCCAGGAGGCGGAGCTTGCAGTGAGCCAAGATTGCGCCACTGCACTCCAGCCTGGGCACAGAGTGAGACTATGTCTAAAAAAAAAAAAGAAAACAACTATTAGAAGAAAGTTTATTGGCCAAACTATAAACTATATAGCACACATATTTATTGTAAAGTGAAATGCATACTACATTTTGTCCAACCTATGCCAACTCTAGTTGTTTCTGACAGCCTGTTTTAACTAGTCCTATCAAAAGAATATAATTGGACTAATTCATCCATCTTACCAATGTTTAATAACCACCTCTGTATACCAGGCACTAACTGTCGAAGCTGAGGATTCAGTGTGAAACAAGGGAAAAGACCCCTGTCCTCAATGCAATTATAACTAGTGATAACAATGCACTTATAACTAGTGATAACTGTTATCTATCACTAGTTATATATATCATTAGTTATGTAATTAGTGATATGACTAGTATATATCATTAAAACTGGTGATAACTATTACCACGTAGTATTGTAACTAGGGATTTCAGAGTAAAAATACTTTCTCTGAAGAAAATTAAGCAGGGTTGGATGATATTGGAGGGAGATATTAAAGACTGGCTGCCCAGAGAAAGCCTAGATGAGGAGGTAAAATTTACATGATAGGTGAATTGTAAGAAGGGGAGAGCATTTCTGACAAAGAGAAGAGCAAACATAAAGCCCATCACTTTTCCTAATTTACTTTTGAGCATTATGAACTTGATCCCTGACCCAGACAGTCTTCCATAGCCATAAGAGCTGTGTATGAGTGTGACCTCCATTCTGACAGGTTGTCCTTTCAGGTGGTCCAAAGGCACAAGATGACAGTCCAGCAGACTGTCTCTCCACTTCAAATGAAAGGAGATAAACATCAGAAAAGGAAGAATTACAGATAACCAGTGCATGTCTCCCACCCCTCCTGAAGTAATACCCACCCTGGTCTTATGTAATGAAAATTACCTTCAAATGTCTGGCAGAAGCTGGTTAGAAGCTTTTACTGGTCATATAGCACAGCCTGTCATGAGACTCACACTGGGGCCTGGATCATGGCCCACTCAAAGAGTTAGGCTCTCATGGCAGTTATTATATGCTCAAGTTTAAATTAACTTCTCTTCCAGATTCCTCCTTCTACAAGATCATAACCTCCCATGTCCATGTGACAGAAAGAAGAAGGCAGGAGGCAGCTTGCTCCAGAGGCTTTAGCTCCCTGTCCTGACAAGGTTCTGGTCCTTTCTTATGCTTGTGAGCTCTTATCATTTGACAAACTTCAGCATCACAGTTAAAAACAGAGTTGAGGAGTCAGGCTGCCTAGAGCGAAATCCTGGCTACAGCACTTGCTGGCTTTGTGACTTGGCACAGGTTACAACTCTCCAAGCATCAGTTTCCTAACCTGTAAAACAATGCTTATATTACTTTACAGAATGGGTATGGGGATTAAAAAGGTCATCTCCTTGAAGCCATAATGCATAGTATCTAGTGCACAGTGTGCACATCAAAGCTGGTAGTCATAGGAGTATGAAGAGGAGGAGGGCGGGGAGTCAGTATCATAATACTCCTCATACACTCAACCCTCAGCTTTTATCCCACAAGCTTCAAGAACACTTGGCTTAACTGGACATTTTAATCCTTATAACCAACCTCAAAAGAGAAAAGAGGTAAAAAGAGCAAGGGGTAAAAGAGAAAAAATGATATTTTTTCCTTGTGCACATTCATCCATGTTTTCAGAAGGCTCTAACAGGGCTCAAGGATTGAAAGTACTGCTTGTTTCAAATATGTATTAGAACGATTGCAAAAATTAGAGAAAAGAAAAGCTGTTTTGCAGATGTCTGGCCATTCATAGTCATCCAATTTTTGGATTGCTCCCAGTCAGTGAAGGGAAGAGGGAGTACAATTTGAAAGTCCTGGACTCCCTTTGAGGTCACTGCTGACTCCATTTTAATAGTAGACCTCCAGGTGATTAGTAATTTTTCAACAATAAGCCTGAAAGCAAAAGAGGCACTAATCTAGCTCTCTCCCTGAATGCTTATAAACATTTATTATTTTATGCCCTTCTGTTCTCCTTTTCTATTAGGATAAAGTTTTCCAAAGCCAGAAACCAGGACTGTTCTTTTTTTAATGCTTACAGCAAAGCTGATTTTTGTGATACTAGTTATTCATCTTATGTCCCTCATCTGTGCCTCTGTAGACCAGGGGAGCAATGAGTGTTTCAAAGCTATGAAGTATTATTTTACTAATCTTTGTTTTCCAATAATCTGGCATAGTTCTTGGAACAATGGTTGTCACTGAAATTTGTTTAAGGGAGAGGTTAAAATGGAAGAAGATATATAAAGATGTTAATAGCTACAATAAAAATATAATACAGAATAACAATAGGAGAAAATCAAGCCCTGTATGTTAGCACATGCTGATAATGTAGTTAAAAGATTATTAAAAATAGTATTCCAACTAGATTTGGAAAGGCTAATAAAAGTTTATTTCTTAAACATATTTGTAAAAAGTATGAAGGTGGCCAGGTCTGGGCTGGAATAATAGCTCCAGAGTCACTGGAGACTCAGGCTGTTTCTGTCATTACTAGGATATGACCCCTATGATAGTGCAAAAGGCTGCTGGAGTTCCAGCCATCACAACCACATTCTAAGCATCAGTGTAAGTAGTTAGGAAGAGAGGAAAGAGACTTCCCAGGATTTCTATACATCACGTTTACTTACTATTAATTAGTAAGAAATTAATCTCATGGTCTCAACTAAATGCAAAGGCAGATGTTGCCCAGTGGGAGGCAAGATGTTTGGCAACATGATCATAAGGACAATAACTCTAAATATACAAATGTTTAGGAGCTTGCTGAAGATTTCATATGTGCATGTGTTGCTTTTTTTTTTTTTTTTGGTAGCAGGTGGGAGAGTTGACTCTTAGGAATCTATAGCTTAAGGTAGCTGGAGTAGCAGCAGCTCATCTGCAGCTTGCTCTGATTAAAAGTTGATATGCCTATGGAGACAATGGGATAGAATGCTCTAAAGGTAAACAGGCAGTCTTAAAATGGTCATTGTTGAAGTTGTCCAGTCTGGTTTATTATAGGAAAGAAGCAGGAAGAGATCCAAGGAAGAAACTCAGGCTGAAACAATCAGCTGTTAGTGTTTGTTGTCCCTTTGTTCTATATCTCTTAGAACCTGAGTAGAAAGTGAAAACAGTGAAGGACCCTCACCTTGGACAACATGTCAAAAGTGGTGGGGAGCCTGATGCTGTCTATCTCTTCTGCCTGTATTTGGGGTCTATCATGGGTTGTCTGGGCCCCTTGCACTAGGATCAATCCTTCTCTAGACCTTCTATAGCCCTGAATACTGACACTGCTATTTTTGCAATAATAAGTTTCAGCAAGACCTTGCTGTTGAACGACTTGAAATGCCACCATCACTGTAAATATACCACAAACACATTCACACAAAGACACACACACACTCTACCACCACACTCACATACTGTCCTTATTTCAGAATAGGCAGGTTTTTGGAGACTAATTGATTAGATATTTTGAGGGGAGATTCAGCAGCCTACTAACAAAACTTGTTTCCCCCCCATGATTCTTCTTTCCTATAGCTGGGATGAAGGCATAACCAAGGTCCTTCTGTATTCCTGGCAAAGAGGGGAAGAAGTCCAAGGCAACTGGGAGGCAGCACCAGACTGAGGCAATCTGGGAAATCTCTGTCTTCTGGAAAATAGCCCTGAGGCCAAGAGCAGCAATTCTATTGTGAAGAAAACCATTCCCAGAAAAACCCATACTGACCTCCACTTCATCTTGGCCAACAATGAAGAATAGATGAAAATGGCTGAGAGTGTTTTTTAGTTTTGTTTTTTTTTGTGTGTGTAGTGGAAGAAAAGTGAGTCATTAAGTATGACTATAAATCTTATCTCTAATGTCTTCTTTTCCACTCTAAAAATTGGGACTTATTCAAGGCATAAAGGGGTGTGGAACCAAGGACTTAAAGCCATTCTGTAAAATTTATCAACTCTCAATTATTCTCAGCAACTTAAAGAAAAAAAAAAAAAGGAAAAACAGCCTGCTTTCACCTTGCCCTTCAGCAGATTTCTGTGTGCCCTGCCTCCCAGCTGGCACATTAGCTCAGGACACAGCTAACCTTGGACTTTGGTTTGCTGCCCACCTCAGGACTCATAACACATCACAGTGAGTTTGGAATCATTTGGTGCTTTGGATGACCCCATCCCTTCCTTAAGCCCCAACTATTTTTTTTGTTGGTACAAAAATTAAGAATTCTCTGAACATTTTCTGGTTTGTCTATAAACTGCCGAAAGGATTATAATAATCATATTTGGGATTTGCATGGCATGGTAGGATTTTCATAATTTTTTCAGAACTCAGTATGAATTTAAATCCATTGAATCAAAGGGCTGGAGAGTTTTTAAGACATGGGATGGGGGGACCACAGGCCATCTATGTTTGTGAACTGACCTTGCCTAAAGGAAAAGTAAGTTTTTATCTTCATGACAGGAGATAATTTTACAACTTAGAGTAAAAGGAAAAGGCACTCACCCAAGTTGGGCTCCCACTCTCCCACAAGGAGAGGGTCTAGAGACTCTATATTCCTTAATAATTGATTACATTTCAAAGGATGGATCCCAGGTTCTTAAGAAAAACAGTCCTGGGTTGTCAAACTGAAAAGAGGCTTTTTATATTACTTACATCTCAAAGTGGCAGAAAAAGAATTTATATTTATAGTTTTCTAAAGTAGATAATCTAAGAAAAGGGAGGACAGGGACCTTAGTGGTTAGGCCATGTAGACTAAGAATCAAGGATCAAGGTAAGAAGATGGCCAGGGCCTTAAGACAGGAAATTTGGTCTAAAAGGTACTTAAGCTGAAAGAAACATTAAGGCCATCTTGATCAATCCTTACTATAACACAGTGGAGCACCTATTAATATGCTCATTTTACAGACTAGGAAACTGGGACACAGAGAGGTTGAGACTTGTCCTAATTTATCAAACCTGAGAAATACCAAGCCATCCCCAAGTTCACATCTCTCTTACTATGACCAATTGCCTAAATATGCAAATGCATTTTGTTGTTGTTGTTTTCTTATTTTTACTGTTTGTTAGGAACCAGTTCCACTGCATTACATCTAAGTGTTGCCTCGATGACAGTAGTTTTGAAGGCTCAGCCTGCAGGTAGTTTTATGGAAACAGAGAGGAGAAAACGATGGAAAAGAAGAGGTAAGGGTGAGAGTAGTCAGTAATCATCCCCACAACTCATCTCACACATAAACACAACCTCTAACCACATGTTCAGAACAGGGTTGGCAGTAAACTAGGCAAAATGAGATGAAGCCCTGGATGGAATTAGTGGCAAGGGGAATAAAATGGACAGGGCAACTTTAAGAACACATCAAAAGAATGGCAGGAGCCGGAAATAGGCTAAAAGGCACATAGGACAGAGACCTTCCCAACCTAACTTTAGTCCTAGAAAGACAGAAATTGAAACAGGAGAGGGAGCCTAATTTAAGGGGAAATAAATAAGAAAGGATTATACATGTTGACTTTAAGGTGCTCTGACAAGTTTATAACTTAACATTAGATCCTTACTGTAGACATTAAATTGGTGCTGTTGATTTCCAATTTTGAAGTCCTCTTCTTTACAGTGATATTATAGATACAAAAATAAATGACCTCAGCAAAAGATGAAAATATAGAGAGAAAGGGAAATGACAAGATAAGGAATCATGAAGAGCTACCATAGCTGAGGACCAAGAAAAGAGAGATGAAAAAGCAAAAGCAAGGACGGGGGAGAAGGAACAGAAAAAGAACCATGAAGAGCAGTAGCAGAGTCCAGGAAGTCTTGTGTAATAGAAACCAGGACAACATAGAGATTAAAGAAAAAACTTTCTCCAGAGTCTAATGTTACAGTTAAAGAGAAATGTGTAAGGCAGAGGGAGACACTAGTGACTCTCAAGACAGAAGCTCCAGTAGTTTTGAGGATAAAAATCACATTGCACAGGGATAAAGGAAGTAGCAGACATATCAGAAGCAGAGGTATTGGGCCACAGTTAAGCAGTGCAAAGAAGAAAGTTTGGATGCTAGTTGGAAAAAACAAAAAACTTTTTGTTTTCCAGTAAGAGTGAAAATATCATAAAATGTGTTAAAAAAACTGAAGTATTAGCCCAATATTCCTCATAAATTTATAGATCCAATAAATGTGTAGAAACTCCTATACCAATTGCTAATGCATACACAAAATGTATACAGATCCATAAAAACAATCCCTGTTTCTCTACCACACTCTGATCAACCCATCTCTAACGTGTAGCATTCATAATACGAGCATTCTAACCCAAAGAGGTCTAGCCTTGTGATTAGTGTAGAAGGCAATTCCTCTCAGTCTGTTCTTCAATCCAAGACCCTTTAAGTTGTTACCATTTGAGGAGATTCTACTGTTGGCCTAGGGACAGCTACAGATTGCTTATTTACCTTGGCATCATCAGTCACAGTTTTCAGGGCTTCAAGGAAGGATGTCCAAAAGGTCTTGGAGACATGGCAGTAGTTGCCATACCTGAAACTAAGGCATGTCTGCAGAACATTAAATAAGAAACTTATCACCTTGTCTAATGTGTTTCCCTGTAATGGGTACTTGTTTCTAGATGGTGATCATTTGCCAGCCTTTGACAATTCCTATGTATTTGTTCTAAGGCTGCTGTGCCCAGATTTTGTCGAACAAAGGGTAGTACTGTCTTATTAATTTTTGTGTATATATATCCTTTTTCAGCTATGGCTAGCAGATGCACTTGAAAGAAGGTAACGTATCTTTCTATCCCTGACTTTCAACACCCCTTAAAGCTATCTGCTTCTTTAAAGCAGGTCCACACCAGATCAATAGTTTAGTAGATTTATTTCAGTTCCTCCCTTTGATCGTTTCCTGTTCTTGACCTTTGTGTCATTTCTTCTCTATGTTTTTCCTGAGAGCTAGGCCTCCCCTCACCTCCATATCTCTCACCTGGAAAATGAACTCTTTGTTGTTCCATTTTTATGTTTTCAATTCGTCTTTCTCAGTGACCATCCTAAATCTGCTCTCCCTGGAAACACTCTCAATGATATCTCTGTCCTCCAGGGCTCAGAACAAGCTAAGGGGCAAGGAACAATTAAAAGTAGAAATCAAGTGTTTTCAATTACCTCTGTGCTTTTGGCTATAATAGAAATTGTCCTGTGTGTGCATGTGCACTGGGAGAATTTTTAAGCCAATGAGAAACAAAACAACAATTAAACTCAAATACTATAAATTAATATCAGAAATAAATGAAAATAAAAAAGTATATTTGGTTCATACTTGGATAAAACTTTATCTAAACCATGTGATCACTTTGGAAACATTATATATAGAAAAGAAGAAAATTCAGGTCAAGGAGCTGATTAAGGAACCAGTGATATCAAAAGCGACTGTGCTACTCACTGTTCTGAAGATATTTGAAAAGTTAAAAGCTTTTCAGATTCCTGTTTAATGTCATTGGTTAGAACTGAATAAGCTATGTTATTGACATCTCTCAGACTTGCCAACCATTGTTTAGGATGTTAATTAACTCCGAAAGTGGTTGGTGTCCCATCAGTGATGTGAGACCCTAATTTGTCCTGGGAGGCTGAGGGGCTGTCGGGGAGGGGATGGCACGGAACACTGCTGCCTCTGACCTCATGGGGTTGGAGCAGAGCTGATATCCCTGGTCTGGCAAAAGAGAGGAATACAATTTTTATAGTTCTTTGTCCTTTTACACATATACAAACTCAAAAGATCCATTTCTGTGCATGTGCCTTTTACCTCTCCTTTTGAAAAGCTACATAATGAAGAGAGATTTATCCATTTTAAAATGCTGTCTGTGCACAAAGTGAAACCTGCTCTCATCCTTCTGACTTGTAACATTGCTCTTTCTCTGAGCCTTGTAAAGCCTGCATGAGTCAGACCACTTATGGCTTGCCCTTATACTGTCAGGACATGGGGCAGGGAGGGGCAGCTGGTGTGTGCAATCTGTCAGCTATTGTACAGCCTAATGAGGCACAAGAATAAAGGTTCCCCATGTGGAATGGTCTCCTTCACATCAGAGGCACTGAGGAGGCACTTTGCAGATTCCAGCGGCTCTGGGGAGACTGTTACCGAAGCCAGCCAAGCTCCTCTGGCTGCAGCTGCAGTGGCAACCTGTTAGTCAGTTGGCCTGTGACATGAAATGACCATGCTACAGGCCTGGCATCCCCTTAGACCAGTGTTTAAGGTTTGTGCTTATTCCCAAGGCCAGACTCACCTCAGCTAAAGTGACCTCCTCCAAAGCCTGCTTGAATACACTAAGGAGTGATCCCTATAAGCTCATAACTCCTGAGAAAGACAAAAATAACAAGTCAGCATGAGAGATGGGGGATGGAAAGAAAAGGAGCTGGGAGCAAGGCAGAGATGCCACTAAGGGTCTCTTTCTCTCTCTCTCGGCCTTCAGAGAAAGCTTTAGAACTGGGACTGAAGATTCAGAGAGCAGTGCTATGGGCCACTGAGGGTTGAATGCATGCAAACCAGCTAGTACAAAAGCAAAGACGAGAGCTGGACTCCGGAGCAGCACCCCGTGGCTGTTACTGAAAAGATTCACAGACAAACGGCACCTGCACCTGCAAGTATAATGGAAAGGGTGGATATGACGATGACATCTTATTTTTATTAGGACATATGAACACTAGGCTGTGTAATAGGAATGGGAGTAGCAAGAATTAATCATCTCATATTCCTAACATGGTGGCTTGTGGTGTTGCGGGGAGGAGTGTGTGTTTTCCTGGGTGTTGCAAACAATTGCTGCATGTTCTTCAGGGTAGCATTAATAAGTCAAATGGTTTGGAAAGAAAAAAGTATCGGTGGGCAGAGAGTCTGGAAAAAAATATTTAAATGATGAAGGGGCTGATGTCTGGTTTGAGTCATGCTAGGAGCTATAAATATGCAAAGAGCAGAGTCAAGAGTGGCTGCTCAAGTCTAGCCTCCTAAATGGCATCCCTCCCAAGCTGGCAAGCAGAGTGAGAAATTGAGCCTACCCTAGCAGTCCTGTGTGGTACCCTCTTTTTACATGACTGTGCCCAATCATGTGTGGACTCTCATAGAGTTAATTAACCCAAGATGGAGATTCTCAAATTTGAATGTGCAAAGGATCATATGGGAACTTAGACAAATGCAGATTCCTGTATGTTGCCCACCTCCACCAGAGACTTGATTCATACATCAAGCGTGATGGGGCCCCAGAAATGTGAATTTTTAAAGCACTCCAAAACTTTGAAAAATAATATTTTAGGCAATGTAGAGACTAACACTGGATGAAACTAAATGATAAATATTTTCCTTACGACAGACTAATGTCTTCTTCCCTTGAGGGTGCTCTACTTACTGCCAGCTCCTATAGACCATCCATAGCTAAAAAATGGTCTCAGAAGTTTTCTGCAGACAGACATTTATAACTTAGGTTAAATGTAAGTCAACATGTTACCTATGTTAGGAGTGTTTGCCATTTTAAACATCTTATTTTAGAATGAGGGTTTGTGTTGTTGGGTGAAGGGATTTCTTGCAGCAGCGGATGGGAAATGTAGCTGAGAAAGGAACATTCCTTCCTGCTGCCCCCAGAAATTATAAAATATCTGGCAGAGCCTACAGATAATTATGGACTATTTTACTGGGATCATTCCGCTATGAATGGTATCATATCCTCCAAAGTCAGACTTCCAGCACTATCAGCTCAGGCAGATGCCCAAGAGGGCAAAAAGATTTTCTACCAGGTAATACACCCTAAATTTTGATAATATCTCAAACCACATTACTTGAGCTAAGATTAGAATTTAACTAGAGTTTCATAAAAAATTTTCTCACTATTTCTAGAAATGGGAAATCTCTACCATGAGTCACCAGGAAGATTTCTTCTCCTCTGTAATCAAATAGCCCATTTCACCCTACTATTTGCTGAGCCTATAAATCATAATAAATATTAAAGCATAAAGATAAGGCCGATTAGAGGAAACAAACATCACACTAAGGGGTTCATTAAAGAAGATCAGATTCCTCTATACAGAACTGCTTTTACATTTGCCTCTTTATCAGACTGGGGATTATTCTGGCCCATGGAGAAACTGGCCTTTATAAAACCCTCCCGCAGTGATCTGCCATCCACCCAGCTCCTGGCCACATGTAAAGCCTGCTTTTATTCTAAATAAAAGCCTGCTTTTATTCTAAATAAAAGCCTGCTTTTATCCCTGTAACCACCAAGGAAAAGCAATAAAAACTAATTAACACCCTTTCCATTTTGTTCTCATTTGTTAGAAATCTAATTAGATTCAAGCAGAAGGGAAACCTTGCTATTGTGGTCAATCTCACTGTGCTTTAGAAAGGCTTGGCCATTGGATTAAGTAAGGAAGCCAGCAAGATGACAGGGTCTTTAATTTACAAACTTACCCAAGAGTAAAAAAGAAAATATTTGTTGGGAAAGTCAATAGTGGTTACCAGAGCCAAATCAAAATATCTGCAATATTTCTGAGATGGTGAGAATTATGCTTCTCTGAATATTTACAAGAAAGAAAATGGGAATAATAATCCTCTTCATGTAACAGTTAATAAATATTGAGCACATAATAAGTTCCAGTCACTGTGTTAAAAGTTGACTCAAATGATCTCTTAAATTTTCATAACAATTCAATGAGTAAGTTATTTTTAATATTCTCATCTTACAGATAAAAAATACTTGGGGGATTTTTCTGTAGAGAGGGGCGTTTCACTGATTTGTAAGAAACTATAGGTAATAGAGGTCACTAGGACCCAGATCTCCCTTATAAAATAGCTAAGGCAAAAAAAGATTTGAGAATCCAAAAGGTTAGAGAACAACTAATGCAAAGCCAAGCAAGAACCCAAACAAGAGGAACTGTTTTGATGACAAAGCTCATCTTCTTAAGGTTTGTGCTATATTGTCTCTTTGTTTATTTGTTTCATTGGATAAATCAACAGTGAGGGAAATTATAGTCTTTATGTTAACAGCATATATGGTTCATTTTTAAAAAAGTCTCCTCTACTATTTTGGGCAACTACTATCAAATTGATAACTGTTACCTACTTCTTTGAAGTGGAAATTCTCTTAAAGTTAGGACTATACTTGTAAGCACATGTGGAAGTTGATAAACTATAATTCAATTTGTTGTTGATGAAAAATGTGAATCATGGGCTCAGTGAGTTAAAAGCCAGCTTTGTTTTCTTCTTGTAGAACCTGACTCAATGCTGGAATTCCATCTGCAACATCCCCAGTGGGAAAGCGTAGTAGGGCAGGAAACAGGAGCTCCTCTTCATGTTAATGCTTCAAGGTCAAGAAGCATTCATCCCTAACTAAAGAGTTAGTGCTCTTTAGCATGATTTAATCAGAGTATAGTTTAGGTTGAAACAATCATGTAAATTTTCTTTCTCTATTAATGTAGACAGATTGATTTTTCAAGCTGTAAACAAACCCTACATATCTGGGATAAGCTGCATGTGATTGTAAAGTATTGTGTTTTTTAAATATATTACTAGATTGAATTTGCTAATTTCGGTTAAAGATTTTTGCATCCATGTTCATGACAGAAATAGGTCTGTAGTTTTTCTCTCTTAAGAGTTGAAATCAAGTAAGCTGACCCCATAAAAAGTATTAGAAATTGATCCTTCATTATATTTTCTTGGGAAGAGTTTGTCCAAGTTGAGTGTTATTTTTTTTTGGAGTGAATAGAATAACCCACTAATAAAGTAATGTGAGTCTAAAGTTTTCTTTGAAAAGGAATTTTTAATACCAGATTTCTTTCCTTAGCAGATAAAAGGTTATTTGGATTTTTAATTTCTACTTTTGTCAGTTTGGGTTATGTGGTATTTTTTCATAGAAATTGTCCATTTAATTTGAATTATCAAGTTTATTTGCTGAAAGTCCATAACATCTTCTTTATCTGTAAAATAAAATCTGTACTGACACTTTCCTCTCTCCCTCACTCTTTCTCTGTGTAAAATATTTATTTTACTAAATCATCTTTCTGTATCATTTAATTGTGCCCTTACCTTTATAATTTCTTGTTTTCTATTTTATACAATTTTTTATTTGCTCTTTATTTTCCAGCTTCTTGAAATGAAAGCTTAAAATATTTATTTTTACCTTTTTTATTTTGTTTAAATGCATTTAAGCTAATAATTTTCCTGTAAGCACTGAGATTCATTTTAAAAGTTTTGATATGCTAATATCTTTTGTCATTCCATTAAAAATATTTTCTAAATTATTTTCTAATTTCCCTTTTGATTGCATGTTTTACCCATGGGTTACTTAAAAGTTTTTTGTTTAATTTCAATGAGCTTGAGATTTTCTTGAATATGTGCATGTTAGCGATTTTTAACTAAATTCCAATGTATGAATAAAACAATAATTTTAACCTTTTGAAAATTTTGAGGCTTTTTTTGGCACAACATATAATCGATTTTATCATGTGCACATGACAGTAATTTAAATTTTATAAAGTGTTCTATATATGTCAGTAAGGTCATGTTAATTAATTTTGTTGTTCAGATCATCTATACTATTACTTAGTTTTTGTCAGCTTTTAAAATCAGCTTTAATTGTAGGAATTTTCACATGTGATTTTAGCTCTGTTTTTTGTTTGTGTGTTTCATCTAATTTAAAGCTAAGATATTAGCTCTATACAAATGAAAAATGAGGATATCTTTCCTGGATTAACCTTATTATACAATATCCCTGCTTCTTACTAATATTGTCACTTTGTCTCTTAATACAGATATTTTCTTTTGATCAGTGTTTGTAAAGTAACATATGTTTCTGACCTCTTACTTTAAAACTTACTATGGCCTTGTAAGTAATGTGTGTCTCTGGTCAGCAGCATAAAAGGGTTTTTAATTATTATTCAGTCTCAATATCTTAGATTTTCATTGGAGAATTTATTCCATTTATATTTAATTTCTAACACTAGCTTGGTTTATATTTTCCATCTTACTCATTTCCCACTTTTTCCTATTGGTTCCTTTTCTTCTTTTGTTAATTTACTTTGGTTAAATCATGTGTTTATTCTCTATATTTTCTATTATGCATTAAACATATTCTTATAATATTCTGTTAGCAGCATCCATAAATATTACAAACACACCCTTGAATTACATAGTCCAACACAGGTTATTACATATACCATTTTATAGTACCTTAGGACTTTATATTCCTTTTATTGTTTTAGTTATTTAGTCATTTTAGTTCTACATATAAATTAAACTCCACAGACAAAATTGTTGTTTTGTAGAAGCAATGTTGATATATAAATATATTATCAAGGTTCATATCTATATCTGTGTATCTCTATGTATTTGTGATTTATTTATTCTTCATTCTTTCTGGTCTTTTTCATTCCTTCTTGCTTTTGTTTCTATCTGTGATCATCTTCCCCTGGCTGATGAATTCTACTTAGGTTTCCTTTTACTGCAGACTTACTGGAAAAAAGTTCTCTTAGCCTTTGTGTGAAAACATTCCAGTTATGTTGTAAGATATTCTTGCAGGGTATGTAATTCTAATTTTGCAGTTATTTTTATTCAACGCTTTAAAGATATTATTCTACTACTATTTGGCTTTTATTGTGTTTGTAAGGAAGTTGGCTAAGAATTTCATTTCACTTTATTTGAAGGCAAGGTGACTGTTTCTCTGCTTTTAAGATTATTTTCCTTTTCTTTATTTTTACCAAATTTATTATGATGTGCCCATATTTGTGTCATTTTGTATGTTTTCTACTGACCTGTTCTGAACTAATTCTGTGTTCTATTACATCCAGGCTGCTACTGGTAAGCCCAAACATTTAATTTTCAGTTTTAAAAATTGTATATTTCTTAGTTCTTTATTCGATTTTTATAGATATCCTTTCATCTGTTTGGTCCTTTCCTACGATTCTTTAACATATTATTTATAGTTATTCTAAATACTTCACCTGATAATTCTTTTACCTAGATTTGTGATTTAACATCTATTTTCTACCTTCTTCCATCTTCCCTCTTCACAGGTCTACTAATTTTTTATCGTATGCCAAATACAATGAATAAAAGAACCATACATGGTCCCAATCATTTTATCTCCAATGTTCTCACCACATTTAAGTGAATATCATAAAGAAATTATCATCTCAATTGAGTTAGAAATTAATTTGAGACAAAACTAGATTGCAATATTTGTAATATTTAGTCCATTTCTGATTTCACTGCTTCAAAGGAATTAGCCTCCTTGATTGTTCATTAGAACCCTGCTAAGTCTCTGTCTGCTGAGCCCCAGACAAGTACACTTTTTTCCATCTCTGCTATTTTTAAGTTTCAGTAAATGACTCAAGCCTGCTAACAAACGTCTTGAGTTGCTGACAGGTGACGCTCTTGATGCTAGCTCCCTTATTGGCAGATCTTTCTTCTCAAACACCAACAGACTCTGAATATTTTATTCTGCATTTAGAAGCTTCTGGTTTAGCCCCTCTGGAACTCCAGCAAATGTTCCTTGAGGAAAACAAGCATTTGAGTCTCAAGTTTCCAATTTGCCACACTAGTCCTAGTTGACTGCTTAAAGCTTTGATGGTTCCTCCTGCCACCAGCAGAGTCCTGCTGCTTCAGCTCAACTAGCCCTTGGGTCACACCAAAAATTGGCAGATGGCCCAGGTTGAAAAATGGCTGGAGGTAGTCAACTCACTTCTCCTCTCTAAGGAATTAGTTTATCTCAACTCTGTTACTTGCACTGCTCTCTCATGCAGCGAAAAATGTGATTTTTGTAATTTACCTGCTTCTAGCTATTGTAGTAGGAGCATTACTTGCCAGCGCCTACTGTGCCCTATTGTGAAGCAGAAGTCTATGGCACCCTACATAGAAACAAAAGAATCCAAGTGAGAAAACTTTTGGTTGCAAGTAGCAAGCAACCCAGTGCCAAGTGGCTTAAGAAAAAGATAATATATTGTTTCACCTAATTGAAAAGTCCTTGTATAAGTGAGTCTTCAACTACAGGAAACCTAGGAATATTTTTTAAGATATCCTCATTGGCCCTAATTCAATTGTGGACACATTTCTGTCTTAGTCATCAACCAAACTAAATGGCCTGACAGGGGAGATGCATGATTTCTCAGAGCAAAACCTGCATCATGTCAGAAGAGGTAAAATGAGGAGACTGTGGAAAGGAAGAGCAAATGCTCACTGTGCCTGACCATTCCAGCCATCATTCATCTCATTATGGTCTCGATAGCTATAGTTTCTGCCAGCCATTTAAGCACTGAAAGGCATTATCTTGTCTTGTGCATGGCTCATTGTTTCGCTTATGTTAAGCTGAAACTTTGTTCTTGATACCCAAATCATAAAAATTCACACTGATATCCAAATCATAAAAATTCACACTGAACTTCTAATAGGTACTTAATACAGTGCATTCTTGCTTTCTGGTAGGTCCTCAGGAAGGTTATCCAACTGCATTTCACACTGTAGGTCACAGCTGAAGAAGGATTGGTTTCTCAGTTTTCAACTCTAATCATGTGCTAATATGTGCTGTCAGAAGAAAGCACTTTAAGCCATAGGTTATTATTGTATATTGTAAGCAGTATTTCTTTGAATCAAACAAAATGAGAAAATGGGTAAGGGTGCCTCACTAATCCCTGAGCCATCTCCCTGATGTGCAGTATTGGGTTCAGCATGCCTTCATTTGCTGTGACATTGCACATCCCATGTTCCACCCTCTAGGCAGGCAATTATGGGAAGACTTCAGTGCTGCCCTCCAAGAGAGTAGACTACAGGCTGAATGGAACTCTGTCAGACAGGCAGCCTCACCTCCTCCCAGCTACTTGATGTGTCTCTCTCAACAAAAGAAATGATTTTGAATTCTTTCTTTCACCAGCTTGCTGCCAGAAATCTCATAAAAGAGGCTACACTTTGAGCCTGAGCTTGAAACTAGGAACTGTCTTACACAGTCAGCTGGAGGGTTGGAATTGAACAGACCATGCTATTTCCAGTAGGTGTGCAGATCCCACAGAAGGTATGTTCTGTGGATTAAAATCATCGGAACATAAGACATAAGGAATGAATAAATTAGAGCAAATGCATAGTGTGATGATAAAGGGCATAGTCACTGGAGTCAGAATCCTTTCTCTGCTGCTGAGTGGCCTTGTGCCTGAGATTCCTAATTTGTATCATAGAGCTATTGTGATTAGTTAAAATTATGCATGTAAAGTGCTTAGCATGTGAAATGCAAGCATCCCAGGCATAACCAACAATAAATAGTTATTGTGGATATTTTTATTGGCTTTGTGCAGGAAATTTTAGGGATAGCATCACCAACTATTTATCACCATGGTAATGAGCTAATGTGACTACATCATGCTACGTAAGTGTAGAAAAGACTTAAAAATTCATCCATTGTATACATGTCATTACATATTTTTTCTGCACATTAAAATGCCCAAGCACATTGTTTTGAATGTCTGCAGATCCAAGTGCAGAGGCTATCATTAAAAGTTAAGGCTATAAATTGTGACAGGGAAAAAAATTAGGTGTACATTCCTATGAATACTTGTTTTGCTCAAGGGTCATACAAATGCCCAGATCACCTTAAAACGCAATATACAAACTCATATTTTTCATTTTTCCCCAAAAATAATTACAAAGAAACTATGTGGAATGGCTTATATTTTTCTTATGTATTTAGCCTGCATTTGTTTTAGTCCACAACTCATCCTAGCTTCAAAGCAATTAGTACGTGTGCTGTATTTGTTTCTCTGTCCCCATGTTTTGACTTCTCTCCTCTTTCCCCATTTTGAACCTTTCCCCTGGAAACATTCTTCTCACCTTGTTATCCTGCCTATTTATTCATTTGTTATTGATTTGAAAGGTATCTAATATGTGCCAATCCCTGTGCTACAGACACAAGAAAACAGACCCTGATGACACTCCAGTGGAGGAGAAGGTAAGGAAATTGTATATTTTATTAACACAGTCAGAGAATGTGCACATATTGGGAGAAAGTAATTGGATCTGTGTCTTAAAGTATGGATGAGGGTCAGGCAGACTTGTAAAGGAAGAAGGATTTTGGCATGATCAAAGGTACAGAGAGAAGAAATAGTTCAGCATAGCAGGAAACTAACAATCATTTGATGTTGCTCAAATACGAAGCTCAGAGAAATACAAGCATGCATCTCTTAACAATGAGGATATTTTCTAAGAAATGTGCCATTAAGCGATTTCATCATAGAGTATACTTGCACATCATAGAGTATACTTCATCATAGAGTATACTTGCACAAACCTAGATGGGATAGCCTACTACACACCTAGGCTATATGGTATAGCATACTGCTCCTAGGCTACAAACCTATACAGTGTGTTACTGTACTGAATACTATAAGCAACTGTAACACAATGGTAAGGATTTGTGTATCTAAACATATGGAAACATAGAAAAGGTAATGTTTTGCGCTACAATGTATGACAGCATGATGTCACTAGATGATAGGGACTTTTCAGCTGTATTATAATCTCATGAGACCACTGTTGTATATGCGGTCTGTCATTAACCAAAACATCATCACGTGACACATTACTATAATTGGCAAAGAGATCCTGGATAAGCAGAAAAAAAATAGTGAAGGAATTTTTTTCCATTTTAAGGTCATTGGACTTTTTTTCTGTACATAGTTGGAAGCCACCAAAGGACTTTGAACAAAGAAATGGCATGGTCAGATTTCACATATTAGATATATTACAGCCTGGAGGAGAACATTCAAGGCTATGGCTAGACACACTGACGAATTTGACCAATAACTGTGCTAGAAACCAGAGAGCCTGAATGCAGGCAGTGGTACTTGACAAAAAGGAGGCTAGGCAAAGATATGCCTAGAGAAGGTGGAACTTGACATTTTTCCAAAATAATCCTTTAAAAAACCTTAGGAAAACATTTTTTAATGAGATAAAGACAAAGCACAAAACACATAGAAGCCAACGAGTCTGTAAAGATAAAGCACAAAACATAGAAACCAATGAGTCTATATAATATGGATTCTATATCCTAAGGTAAGTAAGTTATCCTAGCCTCACATTTACCAGACACCCAAGCCCCAGAAATTTTTCTGACCTCTATCATGTCACTCTTTTATCCTAGAACAGATAAGGGATGGCCTTGCAGCTACCCTGGAGACTTCAGCAGCAGCCTCCATTTCTCTCCCTAGAAGTATTTTGGAGTCACAGGCCTTAGACTGTGAGGCCACTGTTCTGCATCTTCCCTGGCCCCTACACCTGATGGTTGGAGTCCTAGGCTCTAAGCCCTCAAATGAGAAAGTTGCTTCTTTATCTGCTTTTCCCCATCTTTTCCTGGACTTCAGGCCATTCTTCTTCACTTTATCTATGTTTTTATTTCCAGCATCCATCCTAACACTTCTATTCAAGGTAAAGTTTATTGGATTTCTAACCAGAGAAGTTCTCCTTTGAACCCTGACCAATGTCTTCTTATTCTGCAGCGTTTAAAAGAAGCATAGTAAATGGTGAGAAGATGAATTACACTCTTTAGTGGCAATTGGCTTTTTCACCTATGGCTTTAAACTAGGGATCAGCAAACTATGGCCCACAGGCCAAATCTGTCCCATTACCTATTTTAATAAATAAAGTTTTACTGGAACATAGCCACCCCCATTCATTCAGGTATTGTCTCTAGCTGCCTTGAGCTCCAGAAGCACAGTTGAGCAGGTAGTTTTGACAGAGACCATGTGGCCCAGAACCCTAAAATATTTACCACAGAGCCTTTACAGAGAAAGTTTGTTGACCCCTTTTCTAACCCATTATGAAGACTAATTTTTCTCTAATAGTCATATTTATTCTGTAGTAAAGGTCTATATGCTTTTACTTTGGAAGTTTATCTATTTCCCTACCACAGCTGATATGTCACAACCTTAGTGCCTGTTTCCTATGTGAGAATCATCTTCAGCATCATCAACTCCCCCTCTCTCCCTATAGTCCACCCTGGTAACCATCTGGAATTCTATTAATAAATTCTACATACATTTCTATGGAAAATTGCTTTACATATATAGCATTAAATTTTAAAATTTCCCTGGCATCAAGACATGGAGGAACACTGAGTGGTTAGGCCTAATGAAATGGTGCAATTCATTTTTCCTCTTTGTTCTCTTTCATACAAGGTATATCAACAGAGCCAAAAATTGTCCATAGAGAGGAAGAAAAACTGAAACATTTCAATAATCTATATACCAGAAAATCAATTCATAATAATTAAAATTTAACTGGGCCAACTTTCAAAGCAATCAAGCGCTTTCAGAGCACTTGATTTTCCTGTAATGTAGTAAGATAATTTACATCAGTTTTTACTTAAAGTATTTTGTTAAGAGAGTTTCATTTAGTAATTCAGAACAAGGACTCTGGAGCTATACTTCCGGGGTGCAAATCCTAGCTTTGTCCCTTATTGACTTATGTAGCTTCTTTGTACCTCAGTCTTCTCACCCATAAAATGGAGGTTATACTACCATCTACTTTATGAGGTTTATAAAAATTATATGAGTTAATATATGCTGAATACTTAGAACAGTATTGCATGATAAGTACTATATGCTTTTATTGTTATTTATTTATTTATTGCTTTTTGTGTTTCTCTACTCTCAAAGTGATATGAATACTTTTGTTAGAGGAAAGTATGTATATATTCTGGCAGAATTTCCCCATTTCTTCTCCTTGCTAGGCAGGCATTTGCCTCATTGCTTTCTACTCATTTCACCTATTACCCTAGCCTTACTAGTCCCCTCTCAGAATCCCTTCACTCTGTTTTGCTGTTGTTTAATGGACAAATGAAAATTGTATTATTTATGATGTATAACATGATGTTTTGATTCATTGTGGAAAGGCTAAATCAAGCTAATTAACATATGTCTTACCTAATGCACTTATTGTTATTTTATGGTCAAATACATAAAATTTGCTTTCTTAGCAATGTTTAAAATACAACATTTTGTTATTAGGTCTAGTTGCCATGATATACA
Source organism: Homo sapiens (assembly GCF_000001405.40). NCBI lineage: Eukaryota > Metazoa > Chordata > Mammalia > Primates > Hominidae > Homo > Homo sapiens. The sequence goes on along the minus strand of NC_000005.10, from coordinate 110,246,658 downwards.
ATAGATCTCTAGAAATTATTCTGTCTGACTAAAAATTTGTATTCTTTGACCAACATTTCCCCAATCTCCCCATCTCTCAGCCTATGGCAATACCATTCTACTGTCTGCTTCTAAGAGTTTGACTTTTTAAGATTCCACGTATAAGTGAGATCAAACACTATTTGTCCTTCTGTGCTGGGCTTATTTCATGTAACATGATGCTCTTCAGGTTCATCCACGTTGTCACAAGAGATAGAATTTCCTTAATTTGTAAGGCTGAATAGTATTCCATTGTGTATATATACCACACTTTCTTAATCCATTTATCGTTTGATGGACACTTAGGTTATTTCCATATCTCAGCTATTGTGCATAATGCTTCAATGAACATAGGAGTTCAGCTGTCTTTTCATCATTCTGATTTTATATCCTTTGGATATCTACCCGGAAGTAGGATTGCTAGATCATATGGTAATCTTATTGTTAGTTTGAGGACCTCTTATACCATTTTCCGAAATGACTATACCAATTTACATTCCTTCCAACAGTGTGTGTGGGTTCACTTTTCTCCACATTCTCACTGACAATTGTTACCTCTTGTCTTTTTGATAATAGTCATTCTAACAGGTGTAAGTGATGTCATTGTGGTTTTAATCTGCATTTCCCTAATTATTAGTATTTTAAGCATTTTTAAATATAGTGATTGACCATTTGTATGTCTTCTTTTGAGAAATGTCTATTCAGATCCTTTGCCCATTTTTAACTGAGTTGTTTTCTTGCTACTGAATTTTTTAGTTCCTTATGTATTTTAAATAGTAATTCTTTATCAATTGTATGATTTAAAAATATCTCCTTCCATTCTTTAGGTTGTCTCCTCACTCTGTTGATTGTTTCCCTTGCTGTGCAGCTTTTTAGTTGATGTAACTCCATTTGTCTGGTTTTGCTTCATTTACTTGTTCTTTTGGGGTCATAACCCCCAAAAATCATTGCCCAGAGCAGTGTCATAAGGCTTTTCTCCTATGTTTTCTTCTAATAGTCCTATGATTTCCTGTCTTGCATTTAAGTCTCTAATTCATTTCGAGTTAATATGGGGTAAAATAAGGATCTAATTTCATTCTTCTGCATGAGGATATCCAGTTATCCAAACACAAGCTATTAAAGAGACTGTCCTGTCCCCATTATGTGTTCTTAGGATCTTTGTCAAAAATCAATTAGCTATAAGTTCATGAGTTTATAACTGGGTTCTCTGTTTCATTAGTCTATATGTTTTTAGGCTGATACCATGCTGTTCTGATTACTTTAGCTTTGTAGAAGATTTTGAACTCAGGCAGAGTGATGCCTCTGGCTTTGTTCTTTTTGCTCAACGTGATTTTGACTTCTTGGGTAATACCTTCACTATTATTGATCACAACCAAAGTTTCTAGGCTTAGCAACTGGTCTCAGCAAGAGTGGAATCAGGAGAGTGAAAGTGGAGAAACCAAGACTTTAAAACAGTGGTTATTTGCTTGCTTTTCTCATGCTTACTCCCCCTACCCTACGAGGGAAGGAAGAGTATCTTTCTAAATACTTTTCTGTGCCCCTGGAACACTGTTTCACAGGTAGAAGTTGCTTATAAATATTTATGGAAGGATCAATTAAACATCACAGGGAATTAGAGACTTGTGAGGGAGGAAAGGGTAAGAAATGAGTGCTGATCCTTCACCAGCAGCTGTTCCTCTGACCTCATGGTCCATGATTTCTATGAAAAATGACCAGACCAGAGTAACACAAAGGCAACAGCAAAAGTTGAAGGTAGAAGTGAAGCAAAAATTGGAGACGTTTTTCTAGGAAAAATGTCCTACGGCTAATCCTGGGTATATTAGCAGTTTACCCTCTCCAGATGTTATATATAATAGTAACAGCTAATTAGATCACACCACACAGATATCATCTTTACATTTAGATAAATAATTACCATTTATTTTGAATGTGTTTGATAATGTTTCTACTCTTCTGATGTTTGATAATCATTTATGCTGCCAATAATTTATTTGCATTTATTAATTCAACATAAGCCTATCAAGTACATATTAGATATCATACATTCTGCTATGGATGAGTGATATTAACAAAACGAGTAGCACATTGTTTCTGTTACTCTTCTGAAGGAACACCATTTGAAAGATAGCAAAATTCTGAATGATATAACATGATTACTGCCATTCAGAGCAAGGAATAAAGGCTACTGGAGAACTGAGACAGGAATAATTACCTTCTCTTGCAATTATGTCTATATTGACTTTAGAAATAGTAGATATTACAATCAAGCTTTGAAGCTGAAATATGCCAAACAATAAAGAGACGAAGTGTACATCAGGTAAATGAGGACAAGATGAGTCAAATAGCATTTTGGAAATGGTGAATAATCTGAGTGCCTAGAATATAGAATGTATGGGGCAGTAGCAGGTGATGAGACAGGACCAGACTAGTAATGATTTAGTTTACACAGCATTGGGAAGCCATCAAAGATATTTCAAGGAAAAGGGTGTTATATTGAATCCCAGAAAATTCAACTCTCAGGTTCAATTCTCTGTTCTGGGACTGAGGAAAATTCCTTGAGTTCTACATGTTTTTATGTGTGTTCCTAGTTTCTTCATCTGTAGGGGATCATTTTAGTACTTATCTCTTATGGTTGTTGTGAGGACTAAATGAATTAACACACATACTTAAAACAATGTCAGACTTATATTAAGTGATTTTCTTAAACGCTTCTGATTGTCTTCAAGAATGAAAATCTCATTTGCGACCCATTATTAATGCATATTTGGTAGATTACCATGTATCTATCCTAGGTCACTCAACACTGTGCACCAAGAGAATACACACTCTGTCTTGAGTACTGTTCCTGTCAAGATCCAGTGCCAAAGCAAAAGCTATGATAGACACCACCTCTTCAGCTCTGTGGACTGCACATACATCAGGGTGCTGAGAGCCCAGTGTGGGAGATGACAAATTATGGGCAGAACCAGTTATTAATCACTCATGCCAAATAAAAGAGAAGGCCATCTAGAAGTTTCTGTAAGGTGAAACCTTATTTCATTACCTAACCAACATTATTTTACGTTGTGCTTTCCTTCCTTCAAGATTTTCTTCTGCAATACTTTTTGAAAGGCATCTTATTCATTGAATTTGCGGTAATTTTAAAAATGCTTCCTTTTCTGATTTTTTTAAAAATAATTCAGCTATCTCTGAGCATCCTGAGTGCTGAAGTTCTAGGGATTGTTCAGCAGAGCAAATTGATTTCCTTTATTATATAAAATCTGACTTTTATTTTCCTTCTATTATATTGGTAGGTGGTACGGTTTTCCATTTTTATAAGCACCAACATGGTAAAAAGAAATCATTAGTGTCCAATATGCTAAACGCCAATTCTACGAATTGACTGCCCAGAGGCTAACTTGAAAATAGCTGTCTTTGTTCACTTGCTGCAACTTCTTCATTTGAAAAATGATCTCATCATATTGCTCAGCTAGGCCACAGTCCTGAGAGCAGTCATCTAAAATGATTAATTCTCAAAATGATTCTATTTCAGCCAAGAACATTTGCATTAGCGCACATCAGTATTCCATGGTGCTGCCTTCCTACTTTTCTTTCATGCAATCTGCTTCTACTCAGGTAGACCAAAGTATCAAAGTGCTGCTTACTTGTCTTCCAAGGGCCACCAGTATAACCTTATTCTGGATTTCACTGAAGTAAAGTGATTTGTTCTTAAATTAAAATGGAAAGTGAAATAATTTTCTTGCCTAGATTCCAACTTGACAGTGTTAATATGGACCAGATTTTGATCAATTATTTTATGAAAGAAAAGCTTCAAAATCAATAATAGATGCAAGATAGAGTATAAGAAACGGCATGTTTCAAGGAATGCAACCAATAAGACTAATCATGTATGTATAAATGACACATGTTGATATAAAGTACATTTCTAAATACAACATTCAACGATTTTACTTATATGTGCCATAGGTTAAATGAATTTGCAACAGGACTAATATAGTTTGGATATGTGTCCCTATCCCAATCTCATGTTGAACTGTATTCCCCAATGTTGGGGAGGCCTGGTGGGAAGTGATTGGATCATGAGGGTGGATTTTTCATGAATGGTTTTGCACCATCCTTTTGGTGCTGTTCTCGTGATATTGAGTCAGTTCTCATGAAATCTGGTTGCTTAAAAGTGTGTGGCACTTCCCCCACTCCTCCTGCTCCTGCTTTCGCCATGTGATATGCCTGCTCCCCCTTGGCATTCTACCATGATTGTAAGTTTCCTGAGGCCGCCCCAGAAGCTGAGTGGATGCCAGCATCATGCTTTCAATACAGCCGGTAGAACCATGAGCCAATTTAACCTATTTTCTTTATAAATAACCCAGTCTTGGATATTACTTTATAGCAATGTGAGAATGGCCTAATTCAAGGACTATTTCTCTAATTCATTCAACCATTGATATGGTTTGGCTGTGTCCCCACCGAAAATCTCATCTTTAATTGTAATCCCCATAATCTCCATATGTCAAGGGTGGGACCAGGAGGAGGTAATCGGATCATGGGGGCAGTTTCCCCCATGCTGTTCTCGTGATAGTGAGTCTCATCAGATTTGATGGTTTTATAAACATCTGGCAATTCCCCTGCTTGCACTCACTCCATTCTGCCATCCTGTGAAGAAGGTGCGTGCTTCTCCTTTGTATTCCACCATGATTGTAAGTTTCCTGAGGCCTCCCCAGCAATGAGGAACTGTGATTCAATTAAACCTCTTTCCTTTATATTAAAAAATTAGCCAGTCAGGTATTCCTTCATAGCAGTGTGAGAACAGACTAATACATTTATTTATTTATTTACTAAATTACTATCTGAAGAAAGCTACCCCATAAAAATTTCCTTGCTTTCCCTTCTGCATTCCCATAGCTCTTTGCTAATTACTTATAATACTATTTGTTTTGAATACATAACCTCTAAGTAAAGACACATGCACACGTATGTTTATTGTGGCACTATTCACAATAGCAAAGACTTGGAACCAACCCAAATGTCCAACAATGATAGACTGGATTAAGAAAATGTGGCACATATACACCATGGAATACTATGCAACCATAAAAAATGATGAGTTCATGTCCTTTGTAGGGACATGGATGAAACTGGAAATGATCATTCTCAGTAAACTATCGCAAGGACAAAAAACCAAACACTGCATGTTCTCACTCATAGATGGGAACTGAACAATAAGAACACATGGACACAGGAAGGGGAACATCACACTCTGGGGCCTGTTGTGAGGTGGGGGGAGAGGGGAGGGATAGCATTAGGAGATATACCTAATGCTAAATGACGCGTTAATGGGTGCAGCACACCAGCATGGCACATGTATACATATGTAACTAACCTGCACAATGTGCACATGTACCCTAAAACTTAAAGTATAATAATAATAAAAAAAAATAAACAGACTTAAAAGAAAACAATATGCTGAGAACTTTTTACGATGCTAACAAGGTTTATGTGCAATGATTTTTACTGCAGCATTACTTATAGCAAAAAATGTAAAAACAACCCAAAATTCTGCAGTAGAAAAATGGCTAAGCAAATGATGCACATTTGTATAATCAAGTGCCGTAAACCCATCTCAATGTTCATGTGAAATTTTTAATGATGGCAAATATTTGTTTTATAATGTTTGCAGAAAAAATATAAAAAACATTACTCCTATATCTAATGTACTTCAAATTATATTTAAATATTTATGAATAAAATATACTGTTAATAGTGATAATTTCTGAATTAGAAAATTAAGAATATTTTCTATCTTTTTTATATATGTCTGTACTTTGCAAGTGTTGTATAATAATGTGTATAATTTTTATAACCACAAAACAAAACCACAAATTTTGTTTATTTGGCTTTCAGTACAACCATTTTGCATCTCATACTGTGTTGCCTCTGGAAACAAGTCTAAAGAAAACTAAAATAATAGACCGGGTCTCATAGAGCTTACAATTCAATGGAAGATACTAAAGAGACAAACAGGATTTTAAAATAGCAGTACAAAAGAGGATTAAAATTGAAACTGAGAAATTGTTTACTATAAGCTGCTACCACTGAAAAAGTTAAAAATTGTGGCTATGGTGGGGACTCAGGAGCAGGAAATATTGCATGGAGGCAGACCTAGATGGATTGGAATAGGTAAAACAAAGGGAAAGATAGGAAATGGACCAAAGCATGGTGTCAGTTCATGTTCTGCCTTTTGTTTGATGAATCTTTTTTAGAGGAGGGTTTATATTACATGGTCAGTGTTCAGTTAGAAAAACTGAAGCCATTTTATGTATTTAAAACAGGAAAGGATATAATACAGGGAATTAAAAGCTTATAAACTATAGAAAGGCCTGGACAGAGTCAGAAACTGAAATCTAGAGGTTAAAAACTTGCAGAAAATTAACAACAATTTCAAAGTTCCTTCACATACCTGTGTTAGGTTAATGGCAAATAAAAATAAATCATTATAAAACTTATCTCTGTGAAGCCCATAGTCCACTGTCAGAGTAAAAACAAAATGGCTTCCATCTCCCTACTTCTTTCCATATCTTGCCTAATTATATCTGCTAGGCAAAAGGCCAATCTATTCAGAACACTAAAGAAAAAGCTGTCTGGAAAATATAGTTCCCAGGCTTGTAGCGTTGGCCCACAGGATAAAGCAGAAAAAGGCATAAGAATAAATGCTGAGTGCCAAACTCTCTCTCCAGATATCTACCACAGATAGTCACAACAAAACCTCGAAAGCCAGGATGAAGAGTTTAGTTTTAGAAAAAAAAATAGGGTTTATTATGCATCTGAAAAGAATACTATGTTGAAAATGAGCTGGTTCAGAAAACCTCTCTTCACCAGCACAAAGTAAAATGAAAACTACCAACGACCTCAAAAAACTAAAGGGAACTTGGAAGTGGAGTCAACATTATGTGGGGTCAGAATTAAGGGCAGTGTGCTCAAATTTCACTTTGGGCCTTAAGCTGATTTATATCAACCACACAGCCACTTTAGCCCTCTTAACAGGTCAATTTCTCAATAAATGCACTAGAAGAAACATGAAATCCAGCTAGTTTTTAAACTATTGCTCTGGTTGCACGATATAGACTTAACTTACAGCTCCTATAGTTAAAACTCTGGTAGAATGAGAAACATCACATTCACGCACACTAGTCCTTCATGGTGATGTTTCCATCCAAACACTGTTTTCATATAATTGCATATCTGATTTTCAAAATTTCTCCTTAAGTGGTTTAGAAAATTATATTTTAAATCTCCAATGGATTATGAATAGAATGATTTTAATATACACTCACACTTATTGAAAGGTAATTTCTATTTACAAACAAAGACATTTCAAACAAGAAAAAAATGAAGTCCTTTAGGACTGCTCTTTTCCTATGTGTGTGGGTGAGGCAAGGGAACACTTTAGAAAAAAGAAAGAAAGTGATTTTTAAAAACTTCACCAATATACCTTACTGTCTCTCCCACTATCCTGCCTTTACAACCTACTTATCTGTAAATTCTCTGGATGCAGGAAATGTGCTCTATGTTTTCCAGCACTGCTGACCTCAGAGACTTGCCTACAGATCATGCCAATAAATTTTGTTTGATGAATAAATCTATTTTAATAGTCTCAATATCAATGATGCTAGATTACAAGTCAACATTGAGACTTAAAGTGATGAAACCTTCTCAGCTTGGAATCCTATTGCATTAGAGGGTATTCAACAGAAACATTAAAGAAGAAGAAAGTGGAGAAGGAAGAAGAAGGATGAGAAAAAATAAGAACAGAATAAAGAAGGAAAGAAAGATGAAAGGAAAGGAAGTGTGACATAAAGTTTTTACCAAAAGGCTTGAGCAATATCTTCCTTGAAAGAGTTATAACAAGAATTGAGGTGAAACATGGAATAGGACAAAATCCAGTTTTAAATGTCGTTTTCACAAAACTTGCCTAAAACATCCGTCTAACATGCTTAGAAAGCAAAGTGGAAACTATGCAAAAGATTGTAGGTATATTCCTAAAGTATGTTTTTGAAGACATTTTGAACTATGACAGGTCTCTTGAGTGAAGGTAAATAGAAATTCTATGTAGAAACTCATGAAAAATAGTGTTCTCCGCAATGTGTAATTTCCTAAATTGATTTATTTTTTCTAAGTGTTCATATTATTGTGATTAATATATTGTTGGCTTATGATTTTATCTACTCAGCTCAGCTACCAGGAACTATGATTAAAGCAAGTACTTCTGCTACATTTGGAGAAACCCTTTCAAGTTATTGTTCCTTGTATCAGCTATCAACATAAATTTTGTCCCATGTAGAGAAATTCAGCACAATGTATGCAGACCAATAAAACAGAAAAGGCTGTTTTCATCAAGAATGTAGGATGCTGCATATTTATGCACAATGTCCAACTGTAAATCAGGAAACCACAAAACTAAAAGCACTAAAAACTCCAGGTCTTTCTATGGAACACTGTGGTTGGCATTTTTACGTGAAACAAGTTTGGGTCTCAAACTTCCATGTGGCTGCAATGCTTTTGCCTTAATAAAGATCTGAGACCAGAAAGAATTGCTATCAATTCACATTTTTTTTAAAAATTACATTTCTCTTATAAATATCCCTGGACCACTTATTAAATAGGGAATCGTTTCCTCATTTCTTCTTTTTGTCAGGTTTGTCAAAGATCAGATGGTTGTAGATATGCGGCATTATTTCTGAGGGCTCTGTTCAGTTCCATTGGTCTATATCTCTGTTTTGGTACCAGTACCATGCTGTTTTGGTTACTGTAGCCTTGTAGTATAGTTTGAAGTCAGTAGCATGATGCCTCCAGCTTTGTTCTTTTGGCTTAGGATTGACTTGGCAATGCGGGCTCCTTTTTGGTTCCATATGAACTTTAAAGTGGTTTTTTCCAATTCTATGTAGAAAGTCATTGGTAGCTTGATGGGGATGGCATTGAATCTATAAATTACCTTGGGCAGTATGGCCATTTTCATGATACTGATTCTTCCTACCCATGAGCATGGAATATTCTTCCATTTGTTTGTATCCTCTTTTATTTCATTGAGCAGTGGTTTGTAGTTCTCCTTGAAGAGGTCCTTCACATCCCTTGTAAGTTGGATTCCTAGGTATTTTATTCTCTTTGAAGCAATTGTGAATGGGAGTTCACTCATGATTTGGCTCTCTGTCTGTTATTGCTGTATAAGAATCATTGTGATTTTTGCACATTGATTTTGTATCCTGAGACTTTGCTGAAGTTGCCTATCAGCTTAAGGAAAACTGGCTAGCCATATGTAGAAAGCTGAAACTGGATCCCTTCCTTACACCTTATACAAAAACTAATTCAAGATGGATTAAAGACTTAAATGTTAGACCTAAAACCATAAAAACCCTAGAAGAAAACCTAAGCAATACCACTCAGGACATAGGCATGGGCAAGGACTTCATGTCTAAAACACCAAAAGCATGGCAACAAAAGCTAAAATTGACAAATGGGATCTAATTAAACTAAACAGCTCCTGTACAGCAAAAGAAACTACCATCAGAGTGAACAGGCAACCTACAGAATGGGAGAAAAGTTTTGCAATCTACTCATCTGACAAAGGGCTAATATCCAGAATCTACAATGAACTCAAACAAACTTACAAGAAAAAAAACAAAAAAAACCATCAAAAAGTGGGCAAAGGATATGAAAAGACACTTCTCAAAAGAAGACATTTATGCAGCCAAAAGACACATGAAAAAATGCTCATCATCACTGGTCATCAGAGAAATGCAAATCAAAACCACAATGAGATACCATCTCACACCAGTTAGAATGGTGATCACTAAAAAGTCAGGAAACAACAGGTGCTGGAGAGGATGTGGAGAAATAGGAACACTTTTACACTGTTGGTGGGACTGTAAACTAGTTCAACCATTGTGGAAGACAGTGTGGCGATTCCTCAGGGATCTAGAACTGGAAATACCATTTGACCCAGCCATCCCATTACTGGGTGTATACCCAAAGGATTATAAATCATGCTGCTATAAAGACACATGCACACGTATGTTTATTGTGGCACGATTCACAATAGCAAAGACTTGGAACCAACCCAAATGTCCAACAATGATAGACTGGATTAAGAAAATGTGGCACATATACACCATGGAATACTATGCAGCCATAAAAAACGATGAGTTCATGTCCTTTGTAGGGACATGGATGAAGCTGGAAACCATCATTCTCAGCAAACTATCACAAGGACAAAAAACCAAACAGCTCATGTTCTCACTCATAGGTGGGAATTGAACAATGAGAACACATGGACACAGGAAGGGGAACATCATACACCGGGGACTGTTGTGGGGTGGGGGCAGGGGGGAGGGGTAGTATTAGGAGATATACCTAATGCTAAATGACGAGCTAATGGGTGCAGCACACCAACGTGGCACATGTATACATATGTAACAAACCTGCACATTGTGCACACGTACCCTAAAACTTAAAGTATAATTTAAAAAAAAGAAAAAAAAAGATGTCAGGTTTTTAGGTATGTGAGTCTGAATTTAGGGACAGTTTGGATTGGAGGTATTTGGTAGGCAGATTTTAGTTACTCCCCAAAGTTGTCCACATTCTAATTCCCGGAATCTGTATGTCATGTTACATGGCAATCGGGGATTAAGGTAGCAGATGGAACTGAAGTTGCAAAACAGCTGACCTTAAAATAAAGAGATATCCTGGATTATTTAGGTGGACCCGATGTAATCAAAATGATACTTAAATGAAAAAGAGAGAGGCAGAGGACTCAGAATCAGAGATACGGCATACTCAACTAGCCAATTCTGGCTTTGAAAAGGATGAAAGCTGGTTTTTGCAGTTGGTGGAAGTGGTCATGAGCCAAGGAATTGGGGCAGCCTTCTAATATCTGGAAAAGACAAGGAAACAGATTCCTTCTGAGAGCCTCCAGAAAGGAACACAGCCCTGCCAACACGTTGAGCGTAGTTCAGCGAGAACGATTTCAGACTTCTGAGCTAAAAAGCTGTAAAATAATGAAAGGTGTGCTGTTTTAAGCGCCACCCCCGCCCCCCAAAAAAGAAATACAATCCTACTATGTTTCCTAACATAGGGGTGCAGGTTAAGCAGATATATTGGATATGCAGCACTAATGACCAATAGCACACCTCTTTGGGACCCATTCACAACTCTAATCTCAGCAGTTACCTTCTATGTAATTTTTTTAACTGGGAAATTATTTTTAAATTTCCAGGGGAAGATCCACTTTCCTTAAATTTTTGGTTCCCAGGTGCTTATTCATTGCATAGTTGTGTCCATATTACCTTAAAGCCCAAGGGCTTTTGAACATATAATCTAGAAAGAGGCTAAAAATCAACGTGCCTTCTGCTCTGTATTTCTCCCTTGTGGCAGTATGTATAGACCAGTATCTGCTTGAACGGGAGAGAAAACGTGAGTTAACATTTCAAATATATTACTTACCACAATGCTACTGGATGATGATAAAATCTTGGAGTCCAGATGTTGGTGCAAATATTTCTTTCCATTTTCAATCAAATTACCTCTCAGTTCATTAAATTCAATATCACATGAAAATTTATGAGTCTGTATTCCTTCCTAATCTTTCTCTCTCTCCAAGCAATCTGTGCAATTTTTTGCTCCCTCCTTCCACTAGCATTACCTCCAGAATCCAAACTCTCGACATCAGTTTAGAGGGGTGAGGAGTAGGGCCTCTGGATCCTATACATCACTGAATAAGCCTTAGCAAGTTCAGAGTGTAATTTCCCATAGAAAACAAGTATTTCTCATGTTAATACTGACAGCCTTCTTCAGAATGTATATGTATTATTAGACTAGGAAGATTTTTATTCTTTTTCTTCATCTGACCAAAAAGACCTCTCCCAGGGAGTGAGAGAACAATAAACCTGCATTCTGCTATTGCTGTATAAGAATACTTGGTACATCCCAGGTATCTGATAAACTACCCCACACACCTAATTGCTGGTTTCATCCCTCTAACTTTTAACACCGTTCTGACTCATGAATTAAGTAACTGAAATGTGGGCACTGTCTAATATCTTAGTAGCACTGCCAAGGTCAGTAGTTTTAAATATGCCTAAGTCAGTAGTTTTTAAATATGAAGATTCATTTCAAAATAAAAATATAGTTGAAATCTACATGAAAATATGTATGCTTTTCGAGTCTCTTGATTGGGAGCTTGTACAATGGCAAATCTTACTAAGATTTCAACAATGAATTTTAGGTCAATTTTAATGTTATGAATGCCTGCAGCATCCATACATATTTAGAAATGTATATGGAAGATAAATTTTTGGTTCATCAAGAAAGTTGAACATAGCTATAAATTCAGTAACTATTGGACAAAACTGCAAAGTCCCCCAAGAGTCCATAGCTCACAAATGGGAACCAATGACTTGGATTTGACAGATTTCCATGAAAAATTTTACAATAGGATACTTTTCTAATCACACAGGCAATACCCCTTCCTTTCCGTGTTACAGGATCTCATGCTTTTTCTACATGTAGATGATAGCTAATTTCAGAAGTGTTGGTGATAATTCTTATAATTTTTGAAAATCTCTTTTTAACATTAGAATTTGGGCAAAAATAACAAAAATAAAATAAACAGTATAAACAAAAAGGTTGCTTTTGTTATATATGGATTATTGCTTTTTAAAGAATAATATGTTTTAAAATATGTTGATTTAAAGCAGACCACATGTGCATTTTCTGCATGAAGCTATACTGTTGGGTGAGAGTTGGGTAGAGGCAAGAGTAGAGTATATTGTATCAGTTCAACAATAGATCATGATTCTTTGTGACCTTGCAGCCAATTCACTGTTAACTTTCTTTCCTTTTTAAAATTTTGCTTTGGCTGACTTCACTTCTATTCTATCAATTCCTACGTTGGTCATTGTCTCAATAACCAATCTTCATAGCTTTTATATCATTCTCTGAAAACCAATAATCTATATATAACAAAAATATTTTTGATAATATTTATTTTAATTTTTATATTCTATTTTGTAATTGGCAAATAAAAATTGTGTATGTTTATTATGTACAACATAAATACCATGCAATTTTCATAACTACTTTATTCTTATATGTTTCCAATTCTTTTATTTTAACTGTTATTTGTATACATTTATGGGGTACAGTGAAATTTTGTTACATGTATATAATGCATAGTGATCAAATCAGGATATTTAGGGTGTCCATCACTGAAGTACAATACATTTTTTGTTAACTATAGTAACCCTACTCTGCTATCAGAAATTGAATTTATTACTTTCATATAAGTTTGTGTATCTTTTAACCTACTTTTCTCCACCTTTGCCCCAACCACCACTCACCATTCCCAATTCTTGATCTAAGTTTCCACTCTTTACCTCCACGTGATCAAATTTTTTAGCTCCCACATACAAGTGAGAACATATGATATTTGTCTTTTTGTACCTGGCTTATCTCACTTAACATAATGTCCTCCAGTTACTTCCATGTTGCTGCAAATAACATAATTTCATTTTTTATGGCTAAATAATATTCCATTTGGTATATATGCCACATTTGCTTTATCCATTAATTCACTGATGGACATTTAGGTTGCTTTTATACCTTTGCTACTGTGAATAGTGCTGCAATAAATGAGCAAGTTTAGGTACCCTTTTCATATATTAATTTCTTTTCCTTTGAATAGATATCCAATAGTGAGATTGCTAGATCAAATGATAATTCTATTTTTAGTTTTTTGAGGAATCTTCATACTGCTTTCCATAGGAGTTGTTCTAGTTTACATTCCCACCAACCGTGTGTAAGAGTTCCTTTTTCTCCACATTCTTGCCAACATCTGTTTTGGATTTGGGGTTTTCTTGTTTTTCTTGTTTTGTTTTGTTTTGTTTTTGTCTTATTAAATAATGGCTATTATAACTGAAGTAAGATGATATCTCATTATGCTTTTGACCTGTATTTCTCTGATAATTACTGATGTTGAGCATTTTTCATATACCTGTGGTCATTTTTATGTCTTCTTTTGAGAAAGTCTATTCATGTCCTAGGCCTACTTTTTAATGAGATTGTTGATTTCTCTCCTGTTGACTTGTTTAAGTTCCTTGTATATGTGTGATATTAGTCCCCTGTCAAATGAATGGTTTGCACATATTTTCTCCAAATCAACAGTTGTCTCTTCAATCTGTTGATTATTTCTTTTGTTACACAGGAGCTTTTGATTTAGTTAGGTCCCATTTGTCTATTTTTGTTTTTGTTGCCTGTGCTTATGAGGTCTTAGTCACAAATTCTTTCCCTGGACCAATGTCCAGGAGAGTTTTTCTTAGACTTCCTTCTAGCATTTTTAGGATCTTCATTGGCTATTCAGTCTCTTTTTTGACTTCCTATGAATTTTAGTTTTTAAAAATTTATATTAACAATGGTGTTGGTGTTTCCCTAGAGATTGAATTGAATCTGTAGATTGCTTTGGGCAATATGATCATTTTAATGATATTCATTTTTGCAATACATGATCAAGGGATATTTTGCCACTCTTTTGTGTCATCTGCAATTTCTTTCTTCTGTATTTTGTGGATTTTTAAATAGAGATCTTACACATTCTGGGTTAAAATTTTTCCTAGGTATTGTTTCTAACTACTGTAAAGGGAATTGCCTTATTTATTTCTCAGGTAGATTATTATTGGTATATAGAAATGCTACTAATTATTGCACGTTGATTTTGGACCTTGCAACTTTATGGTATTTATTTATCAAACCTAAGACTATTTTGGTAGAGTTTTTAAATTTTTCTAGTTATACAATCATATCATCAGGCAGGGACAATCTGACTTCCTCTTTTTCAATTTGGCTACCTTTTATTACCATAGCTTGCCTAATTTCTCTGGTTAGGATCTCTAGTACTATGTAGAATGGGAGTGGTGAAGATGGGTATCCTGGTCTTTTTTCTTGTTCCACTACTTAGAGAAAAGGCTTTCAACTTTATCCCATTCAGTATGATGTTAACTATGGGTATGTCACATTTGGCCTTGATTATTTTGAGGTGTGTTCCTTCTGTGCCGAGTTTTCTGAGAGTTTTTATCATGAAGTTTTGAATTGTATCAAATGCCATTTCTGCATCTATTGAGATAATCATATCTTTGATTCTGTGATTTGATGTAGTATGTGTATTAATTTGCATTATGTTGAACCATCCTTGCATTGCTGGGGAAAATCCCCCTTAATGATGCTGTATTATCTTCTTGATGTACTTTTGAATTTGGTTAGGTAATATTTTGTTGAGGAGTTTTGCATCTATGTTCAAGAATATTTTCCTGTAGTTTTTGTTGTTGTTGTTCTTGTGTCCTTGTCTAACATTAATCTCAGAGTGATACTGGCTTCTTAGAATGAATTAGCTAGAATTCCCTCCTCTTAAGTCCTTAAAATAGTTTCAGGAGACTAAGCATTAGTTCTTTGTACATTGGGTAGAATTTGGATGTGACTTCATCTGGTCCTGGGCTTTTCTTTGTTGGGAGACTTTATTACTGATTCCATCTTGCTGCTCACTATTGCTCAGTTCATTTTCTATTTCTTCCTGATTCAATCTGGGTAGGTTGTATGTTTCCATCAATTTATCCATTTCCTCTGGGTTCTTCAATTTGTCAATGAACAGTTGTTAATAATAGTCTCAGCTCATCCTTATGTTTTTGTGATATCAGTTGTAATGTGTCCCTTTTTATTTCTGATTTTATTTGTTTGAGTCTTCTCTCCTTTTTTCCTGGTAAGTCTAGTTAGAATTTATGTATGTATATAATCTTTATGAATAACTAACATTTTGTTGATTTTTTGCATTTTTGGTCTCTATTTCATTTTGTTCTGCTCTGATATTTATTATTTCCTTTCTTCTGCTAATTTGGAGTTTAGTTTGTTTTTGCTTTTCTAGTTTCTTGAGGTATATAATTAAACTGTTAATTTGAAATCTTTCTACTTTTTTGTTCCAGACATTTCTTGCTATAACTTCCTTCTTAATACTGCTTTTGCTGTATCCTACAGGTGTTGGTACATGATGGGTCCATTTTCATTTGTTTCAAGAATTTTTCTGATTTCCATCTGAATTTCTTCATTGACCCAATGGTCATTCAGGAGCATGTTGTTTAACTTCCATGTATTTCTATAGTTTCTCAAGTTCCTCTTGGTATTAATATCTAGTGCTATTCCACTATGGTCTAGAGAAGATACTTGATATGATTTTTATTTTTAAAATTTTTTTCAGATTTGCTTTGTGACCTAACATATGGCTCAGCCTGGAAAATGTTCCATGTGCTGATGAAAATATGTATATTCTGCAGCTGTTGAACAGAATGTTCTATAATTGTCTATTTGGTCCATTTGTTCTAATGTCCAGTTTACATTCAATGTTTCCTTGCTGGTTTTCTGTATAGATTATCTGTCTAATGCTGAAAGTGTGGTGTTGAAGTACTTCACTATTATTGTATTACAGTTCGTCTCTCTCTTTAGATTTAGTAATACTTGTTTTATGTATTTGGGTGCTCCAATTGTTAGGTACATACATATTTAGAATTATTATATTCATTTATCAGATTGATTCTTTTATCATTATATATGGCTTTTGTTGTCTTTTTAAATTTTTTTTTTGACTTAAAGTTTGTTGTATAGATACTCCTGCCTTTTTTGTTTCTGTTTGCATAGAATATCTTTTTCCATATCTTTACTTTCAGTCTGTATGTGTCTTTACTGGTAAGGTGAGTTTCTTCTAGTAAGAACATAATTGAATAATGTCTTTTTATCAGTTGAATCATTCTATATCTTTTAAGTAGATAATTTGATCCATTTACATACATGGTTATTACTGATATGTGAGGCTTTGTTCCTGTCATATTGTTCACTGTTTTCTGGTTGTTTTATATAATCTTTGCTCTTATTGCTGTCATGATGGCTTGGTGGACTTCTATAGTGTTATCTTTGAGTCCTTTCTCTTTCTCCTCTGAGTCATTGCTTAACCACTGAGCTTTATACTTTAGTATTTTCATAATGGTAAATATTCTCTTTTCACTTACAGATGTGGGACTCCCTTCAGCATTTCTTGTAGGATCAGTCTAGTGGTAATAAATTTCTTCAACATTAGCTTGTCTGTGAAAGACCTTATTTCTCTTTCATTTATAAAGAATAATTTTGCTGGATGTATTATTCTTGGCTGGCAGTTTATTTTTTTCAACACTTTGAATATTTTGTCTCTTTCTTCTCTGGCCTGTAAGGTATCTGCTGAGAAATCTGCTGTTATTCTGATAAGGTTTCTTTTATAGGTAACCACATGATTTTCTCTTGCTGTCTAGTATTAATTCTTTATGTTTGACTTTAGATAATCTGACTGTAATATGTCATGGAAACCGTTTTACATTGTATCTGTCTGGGGATTGCTAAACCTCCTGTATTTGGATTTCTAAATCTCTTGCTAGACTTGGGAAATTTATATGTATTATTTTATTAATTGTGCTTTCTAATTCTTTCATTTCTCTTTAACCTCAGGGATTCTAAAAATTGAAATGTTCAGTTGCTTTATGTTCCAAATGTCACAAAGACTTTGGTCATTTTTTTATTCCTTTGTCTTTATTCTTGTTGTACTGAATTATTTCAAAAACCAGTTTTCAAGTTCTGAGTTTCTTTCTCCTGCTTTACCTAGTCTAATGTTGAAGCTTTCAAGTGTATTTTGTGTTTCCCTCAATGAATTTTTTTCAGTTCCAGAATTTCTATGTGTTTCTTTTAAAGTATCTATTTGGTAAATTTCTCATTCATATACTGAATTGTCTTTCTTGTTTATTTGTAATTTTTAAGAATTCTTTTGTATCTTACCTTCTTTAAAATCAATATTTTATCTGGAATTTCAAAAATGTCTTTTTGATGAAAATATACTCCTGGAGAATAATTTGGTTTCTTTGGGATGTCATATTTACTGGCTTTTTAATGTTTCCTGCATCCTTACATTGATATCTGTGCATCTGGTGTACCAGTTGCTTCTTCCTATTTTTGAATTTACTTTCACAAGGTAGGACTTTTTCATAAAGGTGTATCTATGGTGTTTGTTGGGTAGCACACTTTGGCTTTGATTCTGGGTGCATGCAGTAGTGGTATCTGTATGATTTATTTGGCTGTAAACAGTGCTGGGGTATACGTGATTTATTTGGCACATTGGGGTGAGATTATTAACGGAAGCTGTTTGGTGAAGTTGCACGGGGGCTTGGGATGCCAGTTGAGCAAATTTCCAGGCTCCAGTGATGGCAGTGGTGTGCTAAGCATGCCTATATTTGTGCCAAATAGTGATTTATACTGGCACTGGGTTGGCAGTTATTGGTGGACCAATTCTTTGGCCTCCAAGCGGCTTGATCAGCTGCTAATGGCAGCAATGGTGAAATGGGTAGGTGGGTGGGTTCTGGGGCCCCTTGGAAGCTGGCATAGCATGGGTAATGGCAGTGGTGGGATGATTATCTGAGTCTTGAGCAGCATACATTGATTTTGTCAATGGCTGCGGTAGGCTGGGTGAGTTAGTCTCCAGGCCTGCTGATGACTCTTGAAGGTAGGTGTCAGTTGAGGTAACAGCAAATGGGAGTTTAGGCCCAACTCCAGGCTTCTGGGAGGAGTGCTGAGGTGCCCAAGATGTTGACTGGGCTGGGCAATCCCCAAGACGCTGGGCTATGTGCTCTGTCTTGGGGAGGTGTAAGGCAGGCTTGTGCTCAGGCATCCTAATGCTGAGAGTAGGAGGCACCGCCCATGGTGGGCAGGGGTGGGATGATTCTCAAACACAAGGCAGAGTGTTCAAGTGAGCCATGCTGAGGTCCTTCCACTGGAGAGGTTGGGGTGACCTTGCTGGCTATAGCCTGGGTAAGCAGGTAGGGAAGATGTTTTTCTCTTATGCCCCAGTTTGACAGGGCTTACTCCCCAACCCCAGCTGCAAAAGCCCTTGCCCAGTCCCTAACTAAGTCTCACTGGCAACTTGTGCCCTGCTAGCATTTCAGTCTCAGTCCTGGCAGTGCTTACTTCCCAGCACCAGCAGCTGCGGTTCATGCCTCACTGGCTTCTCAGCCCCAGCTGCAGGAGCACTCCCAGTTTGCACTGCAGTCTCAGTAGCAACAACACATTTCCCTAATGCCCCAGACCCAATGCTTCTGGGTCCCAGAACAGAATGCAGTCTGCCAAAAGTTAGGTTTGAAAATGGCACCTTGCAGCGGCTGCTTAGGTCTCAGAAAGTGTATAGAATCCAGCATGAGCTCCCTCTCAAGAGCAGTTTCATACCATGGTCTCCTGGTGGCTGCCTGTGTCAGCTTCAGGAGTTAGAAAGGTCAAGGGCCTCTCCCATGACCAGAATTGTATGATTCTTTGGAGGGAATATGGGCCACTAGAACTCTCTAACTTACCTTTTCCCTGCATTAGGAAGTCACTTACAGGTTCCATCTGATCCTGACCAAGTAGGCTGTCTCTCTTACCTCTCTGTTCCCAGTGTTTCCTGTCACTTTTCTGCTCAATTCCATTGCCCTCTCTTGGATATTGCATTTGAGGTGTGCTTATCTGTACACTCCTTTGGCTCTTTTAAGTGCATGAAGTGAGCATGAAATGCAACTAGTCAACCATCCTAAAGCTTCTCTTTCTCTGTTTCAATAGGATATAAAACTGTTATTTTTTAAAATGAAACATTTTCATGTGGGAAAAAAAAGCGGACTTTTCAGAAGTAAATGAAAATCATGTGAAATCCTATTACCCTGAAATACTTGGAGTTGACCTTTATCTGACTACTCTTTAGATATCCCTCTAGGCAAAAATATTTACAGTACTGAAATATAATTTTTAAATGGCATCATATTACACATGCTCTTTTGATTTCCATTATGGTCATTTATTTGACCCATGAGGTATGTAGAGCTTCCATTTTTTCATTTTCAAAAATATTGGGTGTTTTAATCATATTTTTGTTATCAATTTCCAAGATAAATTTAATCTGGTGACAGAATTTGATCTGTATGATAGTGATTGCTTTTATATTAATTGTTGAGGCTAGCCTAGTATATGACAAGTTTGATTACATTTTATAGACATGGTTGAAAGGAATGTTGGTGTATGTTCATTGTGTCAGGAGAAATCTGTAAAGATCTTCCACTGTGATTTAAGATTTGTCTCTCCTCTGGTAGTTCTGGCCATTTTTTCTTTATGGTCTTTAAGGCTCTTCTAGTAGATACAAGCTTAAAATATTTATATCTTCTGAAAAAAGTAATTATTTTATCATTTCATAACTTTATATATTTTGTCTATTATTATAACTATGTAATTTTTCCTTTCATTAGTTTTTATCTAATATTAAACTTCCATTATTTTAGTCTAAACCTTTATTTTAATTGTCTTTTAAATATGGCTCTGATAAATGGCACAAATTTACATTTTTATCAAACTTAACAATTTCTGTTCTTTTTTTTGGTGACTTTAGCCCATTTACATTTATTGTAATTATAAGTATATTTAAATACTTTACTACCATCTTTGCTTTCTATCAAACTTGATTTATCGATGCTTTTTTCTAATTTTATTTCTCATGTTAACATTTTGGGATACTGACTTTTTTATTTCACATTAAAAACTCTTGCACATGTTTAACATTATTGGCCCTTTTGTACTTACGTGTACTTTTTCATAAAATTTGAGTTCATGACCTTTTTTGAAGTCCATTTTATGAATCTCTTTTTTATGATCATCATTTTTTCTGTTTCACTTCAGCAATATCTTTGTATTTCAAGCATGTTAAAATATTCAGAAGACTTCATTTTGCCTTTTGCATTTAGATCCACTGTTCATCTGAAATTAATATTTATGTATTTGTGAAGCAGGAGGCAAGCTTTATTATTATTATTATTATTACATTGTTTTGGTTATTTATTTGCCTCAATATTATTTATGAAAAATATCTTTCTTTATTCACCATCCAGCAGGCCCAACTTTTTTTTGGAAATCAAAAGGTCTTATATGCCTAGCATGTAGACTCTCCATTCATTCCATTGGTTACTTTTTCTGTCCATACACCATGCATTATTTAAAACAACAATTCTATATTTAGTTCACAATTTTGTGGATCAAAAATTGGGGCGAACTCTAGTGGAAGTTATTCTGGTCCTGAATGGGTTGTCAGCCAGCTGCTAGTCAGCTAGGAAGCTCTTATGGGGTTTGCCTGCCTATTGATTGGAGCAATAGGAGAAAGAGAGCCTCGTCTTTCTTATCATCTAGAAAGCTAGCCTTGGTTTTGTACACAATATTAGCAATAATTCAAGACAATGAGTAGATATGTGCAAGTGCTCTTAAGCCTAGGCTCAGAAATAACACAATGTATCTTCTGCCACATTCTACTCACAAACTTAACTCAGATTCAAAATGTAGACAGAAAGACTTCAATCTTGATGGGAAATGTCTCAAGGTGAAATTACAAAAGGTAATGGATACAGGAAAGGGCATAAATAAAGCCTCTTTTGCAAATAATCAGTAAATAAATTTTGCAAATAACCAGCCTCTCTGGATATAATTATTCACATTCTTACCATATTAAAAATATGCTGAGCCCAGCTTAATACCTTCTAAAAGTTCCATTCAATCATAGTATTATATGTGAAGCCTGGGTCTCATGATTTACCTCATGTCTAAATGCAGATTTTGGAATTTAGCTTCTCTTAATCTGGGATCTATAAACTAAAAAGAAAAGATTGAATATCTGATCTCCTACACACCCAAAGAATAAAGTGAATACAGCCTTTATCTGGTTTTGAGAATGTTCTAGATCCCTGAGTCCAATTCATTCACTGACAGAATGTTTTTCTGGTCAAAATTTATGCAATAGTACCAAAAATGAAATCAGCAGAGCTACATAAAACTCTATTAGTTGTTTTTATAGTACTTCTGTTTACATCAAAATTATTCCTGGCTGTATTGTTTGTCACTATGTGAGTTGACAGAATTCAGTGTATTCGATAAGTCCTGATCATTTCTATTAGAAGTGCAATGGATTATAAACTAGAGAGAGAACTGATTCCCAGCTACCATTTGCTGTGAGGTCCCCAACACAGACATGTCTTTTTCAGACTACCGAAGTTCACGAAAGAAGATATAGAAAAAAGTTTCTGGTACTAAGCTAGGTATTGAAAATAAAAACTTTAAAGATTGATATGGGCCCTAAATTTTTGGAGAGTAATGGCCTTTATAAAGGCTCTGTTAGACTTCTAAAACTCTTTTTTTAAATACGAATATTTGTTTTAAGATGAGAGAAGAGATATAGCACAATAGCTCCATGGTATAGTGGTTATGTTTAACAGAGATGCTGTTGTTTGATGTTAGTTGTGGGTTTATTGATCCTTTTCAGCTACAGCAGTTGGTCTCTAAGAATTTACAGTGATAAGAGATCAGTTATTTTCCATTTATCCAATGAAGTCCTGTTCATCTTTTTCTTTTATTGCTTTTCTTTTATTGTTTCCCAACACAATATATTTTCTGGCAATAAGAGTGATATTCTGTTGGAAAGAGAGGACAAAAGGAAGAACTAATTTGTCTTCAATAATTATTGTCAAGCAATTGGGTAACAGAATCAATAACTTCTGTTAAATTTTTGGTGTCTCAACCTAGAATTTATTCTCTTGAAAAGCTTAAATCCAGGAGACACCTGTTGAAACCTAGCACCACTGAATTGTAGAGTAGAAAAAACAAGTCATTCCTCTCTAACAGCCATTCATAACAATATATCTCTTGAAATGAAAAAGTAAGTCTCTTTGGTTTCAGGATTACAAGGAGCTTGGCTAATGGAAATGGCACATCCTAGAGTTACATGAAAAATCAATAATCTTGGAACAATGACCATCAAAACGATTGTTGATTAAAAAACAAATAGGCATTAATAAGATGGCTGACTAGAGTTATCTGTACTTGTTCCCCCCATGCACACACATAAAGAGACTCAAACAATAAATGAACAGCTATAACTTTACTGGAGGAACTGGGAAAGTATACTGGAGAGCACCAAGAAAGCAGTAAAATCCCTGCTGTGTATGGAAAACAGGGTAGCACCATAGAGGGGGGCAGTGAGACATACTGCCTCTACAGCACTGTCTCCCCTGTCAGGATTGGCTCAGAGTCAGGAGGAAATTCTTATGGGGAAAAGGTAAAATAAGACCTCAGTAGTTGCCACTGATGCCACAGGGACTAGCAGTCCTTGATACAGGAAAGTCCCTAAGTCCTCAAAGACCCTGGATCCAGTTTGGCTAGTTACCAGAAGTTTGTGCAGCTGCATTGTCCCAGAGTAAGAGCCCATGGTGACCCCCACTCCCCACTTTTTGCAATCTAAATTGTTAATGCATGGAACCATCGTGAAACCAAAATCACTGCTAGAGTGCATCTTATCCTGAGTGCAAGTAGCCACTGACTCTCTTCATGCTTAGGCCCCATTGTCATTCTACCACACTCATGTTGATGACTGCAGCACCAAGATCTTGGCTGCCTGGAACCTAGACCCAACAGAACAAGCAAGGACCCAGTTTCTAAACCCATGCAGCACAACACTCTCTTCCAATAACAGGTGGACTTAAACAGTGGGGAAGCTTCCTTACAGCCAACTGTCCAGCTATGCCCACATGTGCCTGCACTGCTCAGCCAGCCAGCCCACCAGCACACCTGCATCCATGACTGGCCCAGTGGTGTCTGCCAGCAGCCCTGCATCCCTGAAGAGTCAGCCACACAGCCTGCTGGCTTACTTCTCCCATGAACAACCAGAGTGACAACCAGCCCAGTAGAGACACTCCACTCCCACCCCCAGAAATCCTACTGTACAAACTTATTGGTTTGCCATGACTGCACGTACTATGTCTGACAAACAGCTCAGTGCATTTACTCCCAGCAAAATCATGTCACCACCATCACAAACTCCTGTAGCCTAGGTCACTGAGGCAATTGCTAACATTGCTGACAAGGACTACGGCTAAAGAAACTTAATGGAGATTCAGTTAAGCTGCTAAGTTCATTCTAAAACAAAGCCAACTCACCATACCCAACTGACATCCTGGGACCTATCTACAGGAAAAAGTCTCTCTTTACAAGAACTACTCCATAAAATTGGAAACACCAACTGTCCTGCTAGATGATCAGACATCAGTATAGAAACACAATGAAAAGAAAAATCTAGGAAATGTGACACCCTCAATGGAATACAATAAGTCTCCAGTAATAGACCATGAAGAAAAACATATTTATAAAATTTCTAAAACAGAATTCAATGTAATAATCTTAAGGAAACTCAGCAAGATATAAGATAATGTAGACAAACAGTTCAGTAAACTCAGGAAAGCAACTGATAACCTGAATAAGAAACTCAGAGAGATATATATCATTAAATAAATCTTGAAGAATTCAATGAATGAAATAAAAAATACAACTGACAGCTTCAACAACAGACAAGATCAAGAAGGAGAAAGAATTTCTTAAATTGAAGACACATCCTTTGAAATAACTCAGTAAGAAAGGAAAAAATAATGAAGAACAAAAAGTGACTGAAGAAAGTCTATGGGACTTTGAGACAACATTAAGCAAGCAAAAATGGCCATATACCATCTAACGTTTCAGTCAATGATTTAAATACATATAAAACAGTGGTCCCATAAGATTATAATACCATAGTTTTTACTGCATCTTTTCTGTGTTTAGATATGTTTAGATACACAAATACTTAACGTTGTGTTGCAGCTGCCTACAGTATTCAGTTTAGTAATAAGCTGTACCAGTTTGTAGGCTAAGAGCAATAGGCTATACCATATTTCCTAGGTATGTAGTAGCCTGTGTCATCTGGATCTGTGTAACTACACTCTATGGTGTGTTCCAAACCAAAAAAATTTAATGACACGTTTCTCCAATAGTGTTCCTATCATTAGGTGATGTGTGACTGTGATTGTTTATAGGAGTGTCAGAGGGAGAAGAGATGGGGAAAGGAACAGAAAATTTATTTAATAAAATAATAGCTAATAATGTCTCAAGTCTTTGGAGAATTGTGGACATCCAAATCCAGGAAGCTCAAAAGTTCCCAACTTTATTTAACTCAAAAAGATCCTCTCTAAGTAACATTACAGGCAAACTGTCAAAAGTCAAAAGCAAAGAGAGGGAATGCTAAATGTTGCCAGAAAAAAGCATCAAGTCACATGTAAAATAAATCCCACTGGCCTATCAGCTGATTTCTCAGCAGAAATCCTATGGTCCAGGAGAGAATAGAATGATATATTCAAAGTGCTGAAAGAAGATGAACTGCCAATCAAGAATATTGTCTCTGGTAAAGCTATCCTTAAGAAAATTGGAACTGGAAGGAGAAACAAAGACTTTCCCAGACAAGCAATAGCTGAGGGAATTTATCACCATTAGGCCAGCTTTACAAGAAATGCTTAAGAAAGTGCTCCCGCTGGAAATGACATGATAATTACTATCATAAAAACCCATAAAACTATAAAACTCGTATGTAGAGGTAAATTAATAATCAAATTCAGAATATCCAAGTGCTGTAATGGTGCTATATAATAAATCTGTCAATCCTCTAGTGTGAAGATCTAAAGTAAAAATGGCCAAAAACACAAAGCTATAATTAATGATTATTACACAACAGACTAAAAGATAAGTCAAGGAAACAATGAATTGGATGTTTGGGAGGAAGTGTAGAGAATTATTATGAGATCAAAAAAGGGCTGATTTCAGGGGGCTGAACAGTGATGGTCTGCAGGCCTCACTTCCATGACACCTCTGTAGGTTAAGACCCACTGACCTATGATTTCAGCCACCCACTGCCGGTGTTCTCAGGCCAGCACCAACACCAACATCACACTCCCCAGAGCTGAATCTCCTAGAGGGAGGGACAGGTCACCATCTTTGCCATTTCCTGGTCTTTTCTGCTGCTGCCTTTGAGATCTACAGAGTCCAAGGTGACCAGAGACTGGGAGTGGATCCCCAGCACAGTGAAGCAGCCCTGTGGAGAAGCAGCCAGACTGTTTTTTGTTTTTTTTTTGCATGGGTCCCTGATCCCATTTCTCCTAACTGGGTGGGATTTTCTGAGCAGGGACTTCAGCCTCCCCAACCAGCATTCTCAGACTGGCAGTGGCTCTGTACCTCCCTAAGACAGAGCTCCCAGAGGAAGGGGTGAGCCACCATTATTGCTGTTTTGCAGCCTTTGCTCTTGCTCCCTCCAAGTTCTGGAGAGTCCAAGGGGATGAGGGGCTGGTGTGGACCCTCCTGCACCATGCAGCTTCTTCATGGAAAATTGGTTAGACTGTCCTCCATATAGTTCCTAGACTTCATTTCTCACTGGGCAGGGCCACTCTACCTGGGACTCCAGAACCACCACCCTGGCCCTACCTGAACACCTCAATCAAAAGAAGCTCAACATTTCTCTGCAGAGGAAATCACAGAGTCAACCCACAGCCCCTTTACCATTGCAGCTGCAGTGCTACTGCCTTAACTGCCCTCAGGCTGGGGAAGGAAAAAAAAAGTCGAGTCACTATGCTGGCACCTTCAGCACACAACAGCCACCATATTGAGAGGAGTCCCATCCCTCTACACTGGAAACCCCCAACCCCCACTTTTCATCAGGCAGGGCCCCCAGCTCAGAACCACAGAACAGCCACTTCACCCACAGCTGAGCACACTCACTGGTAGTGGCTCTAAATTCCCCTGGGGAGAGGATCTCAGAGGTAACTGGCAACCCCTCTGCCACTGTCACAACAGCACTTCTGCCCCTGATACCCTCGGTCTGGGGAAAAAACAAAAAGCCTGAGGGCTACACTCAAGCTTATAGCATGCCATGGTCACCATATGGAGTGGAGACTAATCTCTCCTCTCTGTCAGCCCTCAACCCCCTGCTCCCCTAAAAGTGAAGCCCCCAGCTCAGACCAGCAGTCCAGCCACCCCACACCTTGGCTGAACACTCCCAGTAGTAACAGTTCCATGTTTCTTGGAAGTGGAGCTCCCAGGGATAGCTGAAAGCCCCGCTACCACTGACCTTGCAGTGATACTGCCCCTACTGCCCTAAAACTGGGGAAGAGCAAAGACTCTAAGTGCCCTATCGACACCTCAAGCAAGCTGCAGTTATGCTAAATAGAGGAGAACAGCCTTTCTCTCACAGGTCACACCCATCTCCCCGTTCTTGTCCCTAGGCAGGACTTCCCTAGCTTAGGACCACAGTGCAACCCCCTCATCACAGCCCAGTTGCACTGATTGACTGCAGCTCTGCATCTCTCTGCGGTGGAGCCCCAGGAGAAAAGTGAAAAACCAACAGCCACAACCACTGCTAAGTTCCCTTCCTCTGCTGCCTCCAAGTTGGAGAGAGAGCACAAACCCTGAGATTGCCCCAGAGCATCAGTGTGGAGACAGGGAGTGCCAAACCATGAACTACAGCCAGCACTGAAGTGGAAGAGAAGCCCACACTTTCAGAGCATTGAGAAGGAGCACAGCTGCAACTACCAGGAAATGTAGAGAAACCACATCACTAAGAACCTAACTACTGATCATTACACTTAAGTAAAACCTAATGGATCTCACCCTAATATTTAAACACCTAAAATACTTTGCTAACACACCCTCATGTGAAGCCAAGGACAAGAACCTAGCTATAAACAAAAACCCTGCATGAAGCCTCAGTCCTCTGAAAACCTCCAGAATATAATTCTGACTGTACTCAATCTATACCACAGTTAAAGGAGCAGCCACATGCACAAATGAAAATTAGCATGTGCAAGAACTCCAGCAACTCAAATGGCCAGAGTGTCTTCTGTTCTCCAAATAACCACATTTGTTCTCCAGCAAGGTTTCTTAACCAGGCTTTAATGGCTGAAATGACGGAAAAGAGAATATGAATAGGAACGAATATGATTGAAATTCAAGAGAATGTCTAAACTCAATCCAAGAAATCTAAGAATTACAATAAAATGATACAGGAGCTGATCAAATAGCCAGTATTGAAAGGAGATAACTGACTTAATAGAGCTGAAAAAAAGACACCACAAAAATTTCATAATGCAATTGCAAATATTAACAGCAGAATAGACCAAACTGAAAAAGAATCTTAGATCTTGAAATGGGCTCTCTGAAATAAGAAAGACAAAAAAAGAAAAGAAAGAAAAGAACAAACAAAACTTCTGAGAAAAATGGGATTATGTAAAGAGGCCAAATCTATGAGCCATTGGCATCCCTGAAAGAGATGAGGAGAAATCAAGCAACTTGTAAAACATGTTTCAGGATATTATCCATGAAAACTTTCCCAAACTTGATAGAAAGACCTACAGTCAAATTCAGAAAATGCAGAGAACCCCTGCAAGATACTACACAAGATCATCTCCAAGAAACATTATCATCAGATTTTCCAAGATCAAAATGAAAGAAAAAATGTTAAATGTAGCTAGAAAGAAAGAGCAGGTCATAAAGGGAACTCCATCAGGTTAACAGAAGGCCTTTCAGTAGAAAGCTTACAAGCCAGAAGAGATTACAGGCCTATATTCAATATTCTTAAAGAAAAAAAATCTGACCAAGAATTTTATATCCAGCCAAACTAAGCTTCATAAGTGAAAGATAAATAAGATCCTTTTCAGACAACAAAATACTAAGAATTCACTACTACCAGACTGCCTTATAAGAGCATCTGAAAGGCACACTAAATGTGGAAAGGATAGACTATTATCACCTGAAACAAAAACACACTTAGGTACACAGATCAGTGACATTATAAAGCAACCACATAAACACGTCTGCATAATAACCAGCTAAAAACACAATGACAGTATTAAATTCACACATATCAATACTAACCTTGAATATAAATGGGCAAAGTGTCCCAATTAAAAGGCATAGAGTGGAAAACAGGATATAGAAGCAAGATTCAATAGTATGCTGTCTTCAAGAAACATCTCACATGCAATAAAACACATAAGCTTGGGGAGGTCCCAAGATGGCTGAATAGGAACAGTTCCAGTCTACAGCTCCCAGTGTGAGTGACATAGAAGACAGGGGATTTCTGCATTTCCAACTGAGGTACCAGGTTCATCTTACTGGGGCTTGTCAGACAGTGGGTGCAGCCCAAAGAGCATGAGCTGAAGCAGGGCAGGGCATCACCTCACCTGGAAGTGCAAGTGGTCAGAGAATTCCTTTTCCTAACCAAGGGAAGCTGTGACAGATGGTACCTGGAAAATCAGGACACTCCCACCCTAATACTGTGCTTTTCCAATGGTCTTAGCAAATGACACACCAGGAGATTATATCCCATGCATGGCTTGGAGGGTAGCACGCCCACGAGCCTCACACACTGCTAGCACAGAAGTCTGAGATTGAACTGCAAGTCAGCAGCGAGGCTGGGGGAGGGGCGTCCACCATTGCTGAGGCTTGAGTAGGTAAACAAAGCGGCCAGGAGGCTTGAACTGGGTGGAGCCCACCACAGCTCAAAGAGGCCTGCCTGCCTCTGTAGACTCCACCTCTGGGGACAGGGCATAGCTAAACAAAACGCAGCAGAAACTTCTGCAGACTTAAGTGTCCCTGTCTGACAGGTTTGAAGAGAGTAGTGCTTCTCCCAGCACAGAGCTGGAGATCTCAGAATGAACAGACTGCCTCCTCAAGGGGGTCCCTGATGCCTGAGTAGCCTAACTGGGAGGCACCTCCCAGTAGGGGCCGACTGACACCTCAAACGGCTGGGTACCCCTTTGAGACAAAGCTTCCAGGGGAGGGATCAGGCAGCAACATTTGCCGTTCTGCACTATATGCTGTTCTGCAGCCTCTGCTGGTAATACCCAGGCAAATAGGGTCTGGAGTGGACCTTCAGCAAACTCCAAAAGACCTGCAACTGAGAGTCCTGACTTTTAGTAGGAAAACTAACAAACAGAAAGGACATCCACACCAAAACCCCATCTGTACATCACCATCATCAAAGACCAAAGGTAGATAAAACCACAAGGATGGGGAGAAATCAGAACAGAAAACTGGAAAATCCTAAAAATCAGAGTGCCTCTTCTCCTCCAGAGGAATGCAGCTCCTCACCAGCAATGGATCAAAGCTGGGTGGAGAATGACTTTGATGAGCTGAGAGAAAAAGGCTTCAGATGATCGGTAATAACAAACTTCTCTGAGCTAAAGGAGGATGTTCGAACCCATCGCAAAAAGCTAAAAACCTTGAAAAAAGATTAGATGAATGACTAACTAGTATAAAGAGCACAGAGAAGACCTTAAATGACCTGATGGAGCCGAAATACATGGCACAAGAACTCTGTGACACATGCACAAGCTTCACTAGCCGATTCGATCAAGTGGAAGAAAGGGTATCAGTGATCGAAGATCAAATGAATGAAATGAAGTGAGGAGAAAAGTTTAGAGAAAAAAGAGTAAAAAGAAATGAACAAAGCCTCCAAGAAATATGGGACTATATGAAAAGACCAAATCTATGTCTGATTGGTGTACCAGAAAGTGACAGGGAGAATGGAACCAAGTAGGAAAACACTCTTCAGGATATTATCCAGGAGAACTTCCCCAACCTAGCAAGGCAGGCCAACATTCAAATTCAGGAAATACAGAGAATGCCACAAAGATATTCCTCGAGAAGAGCAACTCCAAGACATGTAATTATCAGATTCACCAAAGTTGAAAAGAAGGAAAAATTGTTAAGGGCAGCCAGAGAGAAAGGTTGGGTTACCCACAAAGGGAAGCCCATCAGACTAACAGCGGATCTCTCGGCAGAAACTCTACAAGCCAGAAGAGAGAGGAGGCAAATATTCAACATTCTTAAAAGAATTTTCAACCCAGAATCTCATATCCAGCCAAATTAAGCTTCATAAGTGAAGGAGAAATAAAATACTTTACAGACAAGCAAATGCTGAGAGATTTTTTGTCACCACCAGGCCTGCCTTATAAGAGGTCCTGAAGTAAGCACTAAACATGGAAAGGAACAACCAGTACCAGCCACTGCAACAACATGCCAAGTTGTAAAGACCATTGAGGCTAGGAATAAACTACATCAGCTAACAAGAAAAATAACCAGCTAACATCATAATGACGAGACCAAATTCACACATAACAATATTAACCTTAAATGTAAATGGGCTAAATACTCCAATTAAAAGACACAGACTGGCAAAGATTGGATAAAGAGTCAAGACCCATCAGTGTGCTGTATTCGGAAGATCCATCTCATGTGCAGAGACACACATAGGCTCAAAATAAAGGGATGGAGGAAGATCTACCAAGCAAATGGAAAGCAAAACAAAAGCAGGGGTTGCAATCCTAGTCTCTGATAAAACAGACTTTAAACCAACAAAGATCAAAAGAGACAAAGAAGGCCATTACATAATGGTAAAGCGATCAATTCAACAAGAAGAGCTAACTATTCTAAATATATATGCACCCAATACAGGAGCACCCAGATTCATAAAGCAAGTCCTTAGAGACCTGCAGAAAGACTTAGACTCCCACATAATAATAATAGGAGACTTTAACACCCCACTGTCAACATTAGACAGATCAACGAGGCAGAAAGTTAGCAAGGATATCCAGGAATTGAACTCAGCTCTGCACCAAGCAGACCTAATAGACATCTAGAGAAGAATATACATTCTTCTCAGCACCACATCACACTTATTCCAAAACTGACCACATAGTTGGAAGTAAAACACTCCTCAGCAAATGTAAAAGAACAGAAATTATAACAAACTGTCTCTCAGACCACAGTGCGATCAAACTAGAACT
This sequence comes from Homo sapiens, assembly GCF_000001405.40. Taxonomy (NCBI): domain Eukaryota; kingdom Metazoa; phylum Chordata; class Mammalia; order Primates; family Hominidae; genus Homo; species Homo sapiens. The sequence continues at coordinate 110,214,850 of NC_000005.10, read as the reverse complement.
CAGGATTAAGAAACTCACTCAAAACTGCTCAATTACATGGAAACTGAACAACCTGCTCCTGAATGACTACTGGGTACATAATGAAATGAAGTCAGAAATAAAGATGTTCTTTGAAACCAACGAGAACAAAGACACAACATACCAGAATCTCTGGGACACATTTAAAGCAGTGTGTAGAGTGAAATTTATAGCACTAAATGCCCACAAGAGAAAGCAGGAAAAGATCTAAAATTGACACCCTAACATCACAATTAAAAGAACTAGAGAAGCAAGAGCAAACACATTCAAACTACAAACCACGGCTCAATGAAATAAAAGAGGATATAAACAAATGGAAGAACATTCCATGCTCATGGATAGGAAGAATCAATATTGTGAAAATGGCCATACTGCCCATGGTAATTTATAGATTCAATGCCATCCCCACCAAACTACCAATGACTTTCTTTGCAGAATGGGAAAAAACTACTTTAAAGTTCATATGGAATCAAAAAAGAGCCCACATTGCCAAGTCAATCCTAAGCCAAAAGAACAAAGCTGGAGGCATCATGCTACCTGACTTCAAACTATACCACAAGGCTACAGTAACCATAACAGCATGGTACTGGTACCAAAACAGAGATATCGACCAATGGAACAGAACAGAACCCTCAGAAATAATACCACACATCTACAACTATCTGATCTTTCACAAACCTGAGAAAAACAAGCAATGGGGAAAGGATTCCCTGTTTAACAAATTGTGCTGGGAAAACTGGCTAGCCATATGTAGAAAGCTGAAACTGGATCCCTTCCTTACACCTTATACAAAAACTAATTCAAGATGGATTAAAGACTTAAATGTTAGGCTTAAAACCATAAAAACCCTAGAAGAAAACCTAGGCAATACCATTCAGGACATAGACATGGGCAAGGACTTCATGTCTAAAACACCAAAAGCAATGGCAACAAAAGCCAAAATTGACAAATGGGATCTAATTAAACTAAACAGCTTCTGCACAGCAAAAGAAACTACCATCAGAGTGAACAGGCAACCTACAGAATGGGAGAAAGGTTTTGCAATCTACTCATCTGACAAAGGGCTAATATCCAGAATCTACAATGAACTCAAACAAACTTACAAGAAAAAAACAAACAACACCATCAAGAAGTGGGCAAAGGATATGAACAGACACTTCTCAAAAGAAGACGTTTATGCAGCCAAAAGACACATGAAAAAATGCTCATCATCACTGGTCATCAGAGAACTGCAAATCAAAACCACAATGAGATACCATCTCACACCAGTTAGAATGGCGATCACTAAAAAGTCAGGAAACAACAGGTGCTGGAGAGGATGTGGAGAAATAGGAACACTTTTACACTGTTGGTGGGACTGTAAACTAGTTCAACCATTGTGGAAGACAGTGTGGCGATTCCTCAGGGATCTAGAACTGGAAATACCATTTGACCCAGCCATCCCATTACTGGGTGTATACCCAAAGGATTATAAATCATGCTGCTATAAAGACACATGCACATGTATGTTTATAGTGGCACTACCCACAATACCAAAGACTTGGAACCAACCCAAATGTCCATCAATGATAGATTGGATTAAGAAAATGTGGCACATATACACCATGGAATACTATGCAGCCAGAAAAAATGATGAGTTCATGTCCTTTGTAGGGACATGGATGAAGCTGGAAACCATCATTCTCAGCAAACTATCACAAGGACAAAAAACCATACACTGAATGTTCTCACTCATAGGTGGGAATTGAACAATGAAAACACTTGGACACAGGAAGGGGAACATCACACACCGGGGCCTGTTGTGGGGTGGGGGGAGGGGGAAGGGATTGCATTAGGAGATATACCTAATGTAAATGATGCGTTAATGGGTGCAGCACAGCAACATGGCACATGTATACATATGTAACAAACCTACCCATTGTGCACATGTACCCTAGAACTTAAAGTGTAACAAAATAAAATAAAATAAAATAAAATAAAATAAAATAAAATAAAATAAAATAAAATAAAATAAAATAAAACAAAACACATAGTCTCAAAATAAAGGGATGGAGAAAACCTAGCAAGCAAATGGAAATTAGAAAAACAGCAGAGGCTATAATCCTAATTTCAGACAAAACAGACTGTAAACCAATAAAGATAACAACAATAAGGAGCTTTACATAATGGTAAAGGGTTCAATTCAACAAGAAGACCTAACTATCCTAAATATATACAGACCCAACACAGGAGCACCCAGATTCATAAAGCAAGTTCTTAGATATCTATGAAGAGACTTAGATAACCACACAATAACAGTGGGAGACTTCAACACCCCACTGACAGTATTAGACAGATCATCAAGACAGAAATTAATAAAGATACTCAGGATCTGCACTCAGCACTTAACCAAATGAATGTAATAGACATCTACAGAACTCTCCAATCAAAAACAATAGATATACATTCTTCTCATCTGAACATGTCACATATCTAAAATTGTCCAATCAACTGGACATGAAACAATCCTCAGCAAATTTTTTTAAAAGAGAAATTATACCAACCACACTGTCAGAAAACATCACACCAAAAACAGCAATCAAGACCAAAAAAAATACTCAAAACCACACAATTACATGGAAATTAAACAACCTGATCCTGAATGACTTTTGGGTAAATAATAAAATTGAGGTAGAAATCAAGAAGTTATCTGAAACTAATGAATACAAAGGACTTAGAATATAGCTAAGGCAGTGTTAAGAGGAAAATTTATAGCACTAAATACCCACATCAAAAAGCTAGAAAGATCTGAAATTAACAACCTAACATCATAGCTAGAAGGACTAGCAAATCAGGAGCAAATAAACCTCAAAGCTTAGAAGATAAGAAATAAGCAAAATCAGAGCTGAACTGAAGGAGATAGAGACACACAAAAAAAGTTCAAAAGACCAACAAATCCAGGAGCTGTTTGCTTGAAAGAAAAAATAAGTAGATAGACTACTAGCTAGATTAATAAAGAAAAGAGAGAAGATCTAAATAAACACAATTAAAAATGACAAAAGGGATATTGCCACTGACCCCACAGAAATACAAATAATCATCAAAGACTACTATGAACACCTTATGCATATAAACTAGAAAATCTAGAAGAAAGTAATAAACTCCTGGACACATACACTCTCCCAAGACTGAACCAGGGAGAAACCGAATTCCTAAGCAGACCAATAACAGGTTCCAAAATTGAATCTTCAATAAAATGCCCACCAACCAAAAAAAAAAGTCCAGAAACAGAGAGATTTAAGGCTGAATTCTCCCAGATGTACAAAGAAGAGCTGGTAGCATTCCTATTGAAACTACTGCAAAAAATTGAGGAGGAAAATCTCCTCCTTAACTCAATCTTTGAGGCCAGTATCATCTTGATGCCAAAACCAGGCAGACACACACACATACACACACACACACACACACACAGACACACACACACACAAAAACTTCAGGCCAATATCCCTGATGAACATTGATGCAAAAATACTCAACAAAATACTAGCAAACCAAATGCGGCAGCCCATCCAAAAGCTAATCCACCATGATCAACCCTGGGATTCCAAGTTTTTTCAACAAATGTAAATCAGTAAATGTGATTCATCATATAAACAGAATTAAAAATAAAAACTACAGGATTGCCTCAATAGACGCAGAAAAAGCTTTTGATAAAATTCAGTATCCCCTCATGTTAAAAACCCTCAATAAACTAGGTGTTGAAGGACCAAACATCAAAATAATAAGAGCCATCTATGGAAAACCCGCAGCCAACATCATACTAAATAGGTAAAAGCTGTAAGCATTCTCCATGAAAACTAACACAAGACAATGATACCTTCTCTCTCACTATTCCTATTCAACACAGTACTGGAATTCCTGGCCAGAGCCATCAGGTAAGAGAAAGAAATAAAAGGCATCAGTCCATAAAGAGGAAGTCAAACTCTCCCAGTTTGTAGAAAATATGATTCTGTATATAGAAAACCCCACAGTCTCTGCCCAGAAACTCCTTGAGCTGTAAACTTCAGAAAGGTTTCAGGATACAAAATCAGTATACAAAAAATCAGTAACATTCCTAAACAAACAACAGTCAAACCAACGGCCAAATAAAGAATGCAATCCCATTCATAATTACCACAAAAAGAATAAAATACCTAGGAAAACAGCTAACCAGTGAGGTGAAAGATCTCTACAACAAGAATTACAAAACACTGTTCAAAGAAAACAGAGATGACAAAACAAAATCTGCCCATGAATAGGAAGAATCAATATCATTAAAATGGCCATACTGCCCAGAGCCACATACAGATTCAATACTATTCTTATCAAACTACCAATGACACTCCTAACAAAATTAGAAAAAACTATTTTAAAATCCATATGGAACCAAAATAAGAGCCCAAATAGCCATAGCAATCCTAAATAAAAAGAATGAAGCTGAAAGCATCACGTTACCTGACTTCAACTCTACTACAGGGCTACAGTAACCAAAAAGGCATAGTACTGGTACCAAAACACACAGGTAGACCAACAGAACAGAATAGAGAGGCCAGAAATAATGCCAAACACCCACAATCATCTGATCTTCCATAAAGCTGACAGAAACAAGCAATGGGGAAAGGACACCCTATTCAATAAATGGTGCTGGGATAAGTGGCTACTCATATGCAGAAGACTGAAATTGGACCCCTATCTTACACCACATACAAAGTCAACTCAACATAGATTAAAGACTTAACTGTAAAACTTAAAGGTATAAAAACCCTGGAAGATAACCTAGGAAATACCATTCTGGACGTAGATGTTGGCAAGGATTTCATTATAAACATGCCAAAAGTAATTGCAACAAAAACAAAAATTAACTAATGGAATCTAATTAAATTAAAGAGCTTCATCACAGCAAAAGAAACTATCAACAGAGTAAACAGACAACCTACAGAATGGGAGAAAATATTTGCAAACTATGTATCTGACAAAGGTCTAATTCAGAATCTGCAAGGAACTTCAATAAGTTTACAAGCAAAAAAAAACCAATCCCATTAAAAAGTGGGCAAAGGACATGAACAGACACTTTTCAAAAGAAAATGCAGCCAATGAGCATATGAAAAAATACTCGACATCACTAATAAGTAGAGAAATGCAAATCAAAACCACAATGAGACACCAAAGGCCTGGTGGGCCTATTCGGATTTTGGAGCCAACACATTCCTAATTTGGGTGTGTTACTCCTGCCCGTTTACTGAATGACCTGAAAAGTTGCCAGTTTTGAGTGGGGTCCAAAACAGGAGATACCATCTCATACCAGTCAGAATGGCTATTATCAAAAAGTAAAAAATTAACAGATGCTGGTGAGGTTGTGGAGAAAGAAAGAATGCTCATACACTGCTGGTGGGAGTGTAAATTAGTTCAGCCATTGTGGAAAGCAGTGTGGTGATTCCTCAAAGAACTTAAAACAGAATTACCATTTGACCCAGTAATCCCATTATTGGGTATATATCCAAAGGAATATAAATTATTCCACCATATATATGGTACCTATCATATGTGGGTACCATATTCTACCACTTGTAGACACATGCATATGTATATTCATCAAAGCACTATTCACAATAGCAAAAACAAGAAATCAACCTAAATTCCCATCACTGGTTAAAAAAAATGATGGTATATATACACCATGGAATACTATAGGAAATATTATACTTCCCTATGTACAGCCATAAAAAAGAATGAGATAATGTCCTTTCCTGCAACATAGATGGAGCTGGAAGCCATTCTCCTTATTAAACTAACACAGGAACAGAAAACCAAATACTGCATGTTCTTACTCATAAGTGGGAGCTGAACAATGAGAACATGTGGACACTAGGAGGGGAACAAAAGACACTGGGGACTCCTTGAAGGGGGAGGATGGGAGGAGGGAACGAATCGGAAAAAATACCTATAAGGCACTATATTTATTACCTGGATGATGAAATTATCTGTACAAACCCCAGTGATATATATATTCTATTAGTTCTGTCCCACTAGAGAACCCTAATACAGATTTTGATACCAGGTTCTAGAGGTTCTAGAGGAGCAGAATATTAAGGATGGAGTTCTTTCATTGGTTTTGGGGTTTCTGGAGTTGGCTGCTTAATATGACTAGACTGAAAAATGCTAAGAACTCTACTTCTAATAGTATGGAGAACACTGATAGTCCTTCATCGGAACTGTTTAGAGAGTAAAACAAAATAAATGCATTTGACACTCCTGATTCAGTGCTTATGACAGACAAAGAGTTTAGTGAAACTATACAGAATACTTTTGACCATAGGTGGAGAACCAAGGAACATAATGAAGCTGGTTGGTTTCTCCTAAGTTCACTGGATAAAGTGATGGAAAAAAATGATGAACTCAGGAGTTCTAACACCCAGCTTCCGAAGCAGATACTGAGCTTCGACTCTTCTAAGATTGCCCTGAGTCAGTGTCTTTTCTCCCGTAGAGAAATAGCTGAAACTGTGGAAAAACAGACACAAGTTCTTATCATGCAAGTGGCTGCCCTGCAACAAAAGGTGGATGTACAGCCTCACCAGGTGTCTACTGTTAAAGTGAGGGCATTGATTGAAAAAGAATGGGACCCTGCAACTTAAAATGGGGACATGTGGGAGGACCCTGAGGAAGCTGGAGACACTGAGCTTGTAAACTCTGATGAAACTTTCTTGCCAGAAGAAACAGCTTCCCCATACCCAGTAGTGGCAACATTCCCTCCAGACCCATGCTGCCATCAGCCTTTCCACCTTTGTCTGAGGAGATAAACCCTGCACTGCCTGAGGTTGAACAGTGATGGCCTTCCCTGAGGCAGCTGCCTGGCAAGATAATTTCGATTCTCCTCAGGAGCCACCCCCAACATTCCTGTTTGCTTCTAGACCTATAATTAGACTTAAGTCCCAGTGGGCCCCTAGAGGGTGAGGTTCAGTGTGTGTCCCATGTGGAGGTGAGCTGCACTTGAAAAGTACTGCTTGAGTTTTCTAATTTATATAAACAGAAATCTGGAGAACAGGCATGGGAATGGATATTAAGGGTGTGGGATAATGGTAGAAGGAAACAAAGTTGGATCAGGCTGAATTTATTGATTTGGGCCTACTAAGTAGGGATTCTGCATTTAATGTTGCAGGTCAGAGAGTTAAAAAAGGTTCTGATAGTTTATTTTCTTGGTTAGCTGAAATATGGATTGAAAGACGGACCACTGTGAGTGAGCTGGAAATACCTGAACTTCCTTAGTTTAATGTAGAGGAAGGGATCCAAAGGCTTAGGGAGATTGGGACTGTAGAGTGGATTAGTCACTTTAGACTTACTCAGCTCAGCTGGGAGGATCCAGAAGCTATACCCTTGACCAATACCTTTCAAAATAGATTTGTGAGGGCAGCACCTGCATCTTTGAAGAGCCCTGTAGTTGCTCTTCTCTGTATGTCAGATCTAACAGTGGTAACTACAGACACTCAACTATGAAATTTAAATACAATGAGAATAATTGAGTCCCGAGGTGGCAGGACCAAGTGGCAGCACTCAACTGTCAAAGGCAAGGTTGGCCATAGCTACTGTAACAGACAGCAGAGGCAAATCAGCAATCAGAATAGTCTGACTTGTGTAGAGCTCTGTCACTGGCTAATTAATCATGGTGTTCCTTGAAGTGAAATTGATAGGAAACCTACTGCATTCCTACTTAATTTATATAACCAGAAAACTTCCAGGTCAAATGGACAAAAGATGAATTTGAATAATAAAAACAGAGACTCACAGCCCCTCAATCAATTTCCAGACTTCAGCCAGTTTACAGAACCAGAACCCCTTGAATAAAGAGGAGACTGGGAACCCTTGAGGAAGGACCCCACTACACTCCTAACAATTTATGCTGTTAATCTTTCTCCCGTCCATGCCCAAGGAGACCTCCAGCCTTTTACCAGGGTAACTTTGCACTGCGGAAAAAAGTGATCGGACATTTGGGGGACTACTGGACACTGGTTCTGCTGACGTTGATTCAAGGGGATCCAATGGGTCATTGTGGTCTTCCATTTAAAGTAGGGGCTCATGGAAATCAGGTAATTAATGGAGTTTTAGCCGAAAAACATCTGACTTACAGTGTGTCCAGTGGGTCCCCAGACTCATCCTGTGGCCATTTCCCCAGTGCCAGAATGTATAATTGGCATACACATACTTAGTAGCTGGCAGAAGCCCCACATTGGCTCCCTGACCATTAGAGTGAGAGATATTATGGTGGGAAAGGTCAAATGGAAGCCATTAAAGCTGCCTCTACCTAGAAAAATCAAAAACAATATCGGATCCCTGGAGCAACTGCAGAGATTAGTGCCACCATCGAGGACTTGAAAGATGCAGGGGTGGTGATTCCCACCACATCCCCATTCAACTCTACTATTTGGCCTGTGCAGAAGACAGATGGATCATAGAGAATGACAGTGGATTATCGTAAGCTTAACCAAATGGTGACTCCAATTACAGCTGCTGTACCAGATGTGATTTCATTGCTTAAGCAAATTAACACATCTAGTACCTGGTATGGAGCCACTGACTTGGCAAATGCATTTTTCTCCATTCCTGTCCATAAGGCCCACCAGAAGCAATTTGCCTTCAGTTGGCAAGGCCAGAAATATACCTTTACTCTTCTACCTCAGGGGTATATCAACTCTCCAGCTTTGTGTCATCATCTTATTCAGAGATACCTTGATCACTTTTCACTTCTGCAAGATATCATGCTGGTCCATTACATGGATGACATTATGCTGATTAGATCCAGTGAGCAAGAAGTAGCAAACACACTGGACTTACTGGCAAGATATTTGTGTGCCAGAGGATGGGAAATAAATTTGTCTGAAATTCAGGAATCTTCTACCTCAGTAAAATTTATAGGGGTCCAGTTGTGTGGGGCCTGTCAAGATATTCCTTCTACAGTGAAGGATAAGTTGCTGCATTTGGCCCCTCCTAAAACCAAGAAATAGGCACAACATCTAGTGGGCCTATTTGGATTTTGGAGGCAATACATTCCTCATTTGGGTGTGTTACTCCAGCCCATTTATCAAGTGACCCAAAAGGCTGCCAGTTTGGAGTGGGGTCCAGAACAGAAGAAGGCTCTGTAACAGGTCTGGGCTGCTGTGCCAGCTTCTCTGCCTCTTGGGCCATATGACCCGGCAGATCCAATGGTGCTTGAGGTGTCAGTGGAAGATAGGGATGCTGTTTGGAGCCTGTGGCAGGCCCCCATAGGTGAATCAGGGTGGAGGCCTCTAAGATTTTGGAGCAAGCCCTGCCATCTTCTGCACATAGCTACTCTCCTTTTGAGATATAGCTCTTGGCCCAATACTGGGCTTTGGTGGCAACTGAATGTTTTGACTATGGGTCATCAAGTCACCATGTGACCTGAACTGCCTATCATGAACTGGGTGCTTTCTGATCCATCTAGCCATAAAGTGGGTCATGCCCAGCAGCATTTCATAATTAAATGGAAGTGGTATATATGTGATAGGGCTCAAGAAGGTCCTGAAGGCACAAGTAAGTTACACAAGGAAGTGGCTCAAATGCCCCTGATCTTCACTTCTGCCATCCTGCCTTCTTTCCCCCAGCCTGCACCGATGGCTTCATGGGGAGTTCCCTATGATCAGCTGACAGACGAAGAGAAGACTAGGGCCTGGTTCATAGATGGTTCTGCAGGATATGCAATCACCATCTGAAATTGGACAGCTACAGGAGTACAGCCCCTTTAGAGGACATCCCTGAAGGACAGTGGTGAAGGGAAATCTTCCCAGTGGGCAGAACTTTGAGCAGTGCATTTGGTTGTGCACTTTGCATGGCAGGAGAAATGGCCAGATGTGTGATTTTATACTGATTCATCAGCTGTAGCCAATGGTTTGGCTGGATGGTCAGGGAAGAAACATAATTGGAAAATCGGTGACAAATAAATTTGGTGAAGAGATATGTAGATGAACCTCTCTGAGTGATCAAAAACTGTGAAGATACTTGTTTCCCATTAGAGTGCTCACCAACGGGTGACCTCAGCAGAGGACAATTTTAATAATCAAGTGGATAGGATGACCTATCCATTCTGTGGACACCACTCAGCCTCTTTCCCCAGCCACCCGTCATTGACCAATGTGTCCATGAACAAAGCAGCCATGATGGTTATGCATGGGCTCAGCAACTTGGACTTCCACCACCAAGGCTGACCTGGATATGGCCACTGCTGAGTGCCCAATTTGCCAGCAGCAGACACCAACACTGAGCCTTTGATATGGCACCATTCTTTGGGGTGATAAGCCAGCTACGTGGTGGTAGGTTGATTATATTGGACCTGTTCCATCCTGGATAGGGAAGAGGTTTGTCCTCACTGGAAAAGACACTCCAAATTTGGGTTTGCCTATCCTGCACGCAATGCTTCTGCCAACACTACCATCTGTGGACTCACGGAATGCTTTATCCACCATCAGGGTATGCCACACAGCATTGCCTCTGACCATGACACTCACTTGATGGCTAAAGAAGTGCAGCAGTGGGCTCATTCTCATGGAATTCACTTGTCTTACCATGTTCCCCATCATCCTGAAGCTGCTGGATTTATAGAATGGTGGAATGGCCTTTTGAAGTTACAATTACAACAACAACTAGGTGACAATACTTTGTAGGGCTGGGGCAAAGTTCTCCAGAAGCCTGTGTATTCAGTCCTAAAAGGGATGAAAATTTAATGGGAAACAAAGACATATGAAGATATATTTACAAAATAATGTTATCTGCAGTGATAGAGATAACACAAGAAACTAGGATGGGATATTTGGAGAGAAAAAAAAAGGAGATATACTATAAGAAGTGAGGCCTGATTTGAATTTTAAATTATGACTCAGAGTGAGTCCAACAAAAATATGAAGTGGTGTTATTTCACCCAGGGAAAAGGAGAGAATTATAAGCAGTTCCTCCTTTTGGAAGAATAAAGTGTGAGTCAGAAAGTAGGATATGAGGACAAGAGGAAAGGGCTAGATCATGGGTTTTTTTAAGCAACATCAAGAGCTTAGGAAACATTGAAAGGTTTTAAGAATGGAAGTGACATAGTCAGTTTTCTACTATGGATAGATAATGTTGCCATCATGAAAAATGGTTTGGAGACCACACTCCTGGGTACCAGTGACAGAACTCTGCCATAGTCCAGATGAGAGACACCAAAGACATAATCTAGGACAAACATAACATAACCAATAGAGAAGAAATAAATTGTCAAATATTTAGGTAATAAAAACAGCAAGACTTGGGGAAGTAATGGCTCTTGATGGTGAAAAAGAGAGTCTGGGATACTTCTTGCATTTTGAGTTTGGTTGGCTGGATGGCCAATGATACAACCAGATAAGAAATGCATGCCAATATTGTCAATATTGCAGGCTAGGTAGATACAAGAATACCTCCCTCCACGAACCATCAATTCTTCATACACTTACCCTTTAAACATAGAAATTCTAGTTAGCTCTATTTTAATTTTTTAAAAAAATCTCCAGAAGCCAGTCAGTCAGTCATGAACTTTGAAGTAAGTCTGAGGGGAGAAAGTAAGAGAAATGTAGAGGAGGAAAGGATCTGGATAAAATATTCCTATATTAAATGCTGGGGTTTTAATATCTACGTAAGGTCAGAGTTTGTAGGGCGTCTGTCTGGGTATTGTAGGAAACCAGATCTAGTCTTGGGTAAAGCTAGAAACAGGGATAATCACCGCCATGTCCCTGAACTTGGACCTAACCAGGACCTGGATCTACTGCCAGTTACACTAGAAACTTCTCAATTATTCTTTGTAAATTTTGTTACTTCTGAATTGCTCAAAAAAGATGATGGAAGAGCCCATCTACATTTTAGAGATAAAACTGTTAAGTTTAATTTGAAACATACTGAGTTTGTGGAGTGGTCCAGACATCTAAATGTCCCAAATTTCCAGCAAGTTTACCTTACCTAGGGAAAATTGAAGAAAATAAAAGTAGCCTAAAGATAATGCTTCGGGAGTCATCAAGGAAAGGGCTGAAGTTAGATAATATAACGACAAAAGAATATGTAGAAAAAGAGCATTGGGCAAAGGTCAGAAGCCTGGGGTTCAACAACACTTACCAAATAAGGGAAAGCATACATTGTCACTGTAGAAAATGTTCACTGGAATTGGCAATTAGACAGTAACTAATAATTTCTAATAGTAATTTCCAAAGTGGAGGAAGCTGAAAGCCAATCACAGGGATTAGGGAGTGAAAAATAAATGGAGGACTAGAATATAGTTAATATTATAGAAAAAGAAGAATAAGAATAGAGCAAGATACATTTACACAACATGGAGAGCTGCAAAGCTAAATAGTGTCAAGTGGTAGATACAGTGTCAAGGTAGGGTAGTTTGAGAATGAAAGACACTAGAGTTTCTCAATAAGTGAGAAAAATGAGCCAGTGAAAATAAATTAATGATGTATAAAAGAGAAATGCTAACAAACCGAACCAGGTTTGTAAGGATGAAGGAGGTGAATTTAAGGAAACAGATGAAGAAATGAGCTGTGATAATGAGAGACCTCTTATTTTTAAGAATTGGAGGAAAATCTGTCAAATGATTATAAGCACAGATAAGCCTCCTACGGGGACAAAAGGTTATTCAAAAGGGAGTGTATAAGGAGCCCCTGAAGCAATCAAGGATATTTGAAATGTATCAACCCCAAAAGAATGCTTTGCATGAGAAAAGTCTATTTATTTGAGCAAATAGTGATATCATCTCAGCCATGCTATATCCAGTATATCAAGAAAATGTTAGTATTTAAAAACATTCACAAAATATGTGTAAGTCTCATGGGTAAAATTAACTTTACCAGTAAAAAGTCTGCATAGGAATGCAAAGTTTTATTTTCTAAGTATACCTTTCCCAAAGGGACTGACTTTCATAGAAAATAAAGAGTTGGACCATGGTGAATCATGGACCCTGAATCTTACAAGATTGGTCTTACAAAATAATATCCTTTCTCCAGTTAAATATTATGTTATATAATGGAAGTGCTGTTTATGTCAAGAAGCATTGTTTTTGCATGTTGGTGGGTATATGAACATATGGAAGAAAACAAGGGATGGAATAAAGTCCTGTCTTTCTTCATCTCTGTTTCTTACTGTGGAAATTACAGCAAAAAGATGCCAGCTACAATCTCAGCCATTGCTGCAGAAATGGTTTCTCTTTTAACTCTTAGAAGACCTAACTGCACTATTTCTCTGTATTGAACTTCCTTTTTCTTCAGCTCAGATACATAGATACATCCCATTATTTAGACTTGTCCTGAAATCCCTTCTATAGAGAAGGGGAGGCTTCCTTGTTTGCCCACAGTTAAGCAACTTCATCCATTAATGCAGAAGACATATATGTAAAACTACACACAATAAAGGACAATGCAAACAGATTAAAATGATCATTTCTTTGTATTGGCAAATAGCATTTTTAGTTACTAAAAACATAAGATGCTTCACCCCCCTTTACCTAGTGTGTGACTCTTTGACACATAGCGTCAGTAAATGAGGCAGTTTACTGACATGATTACAATTTTAAGTCTATCAATTATACTGCTGTTTTCTTTACTCAGGTGAATTGTTTATGACAGGAAAAAGTGTTAGCAGTGAATGTAAAACAAACATGTTGGTAGGTTAAATATTTGTTCTTCGGTGAAACTCTCTCTTCTATTATTATGGTGGTCTATGAAAAATCAACAATTTAGTTGGGGATTTGGGGAGATTCTCTTAATTTAATAAGAATGATATATTGCTGTTCAAGTCACACACTTAGTCCCAGTCTGTATGCCTGGGGTTTTCTAGAGCACGACTTCATACCACTTTCTGTACCACCACACACCCAAAGCAGGAATTAATTCATTCTGGACACAAACAGTTTTCTACAACTCGCTATTTTGAAGTGATCAGGTATTAAGTAGGTTTCCTGTCCAAGAGTTAATTCCTCATTGTGCCCCCTGCCATGGAGTGCTGTGAGTCTGAGATATGGTACCCTGACCAAAAGGGATTATGTGAACAGACATTTTACAGAAATAATGACTTATGAGTGCCAGCCTCATTTCCCCTTGCCTGGTGATACCCTCATAAAGGCCATTTAGAAAGGGTTCAGCAGTTTGCAAGATACAGAGTTTGAGTTCTAAAACATCCAAAGATGAGTACATGTCACTTTTTCTTCTCTGGAGCATTTCTAATCACAATTTTGTTACTGCAGCCTCTATGCTGAATGAGATAAACCTATCTGAAAGTTTAAAAATAGCATCTTGTGAGCTACTTCTCTGTCTTGTGAGGTTCCCACAGGAAAGCTATTGAATGATTTGCAGCTTATCACAACCAGTATCATCATAGATAGGGGGATTGTTTTTTAAACCTGGAAGAATCCAGATTGACAGTGTTTGTGGCTAGGGCCTTTGATTTAGGATTATACTCCTGGTAAGAGAGCTACTAAAGTGGCAGTGAGTCTGTGGGCCTCCGCCTTCCACGAAGCATTGGAAAGTAAATTTCTCAATTTGAGCTGAGAAGAGCAGTGTATGGATTCAACTCTGGCCACCATCCTGTAGGCCACAGAGTTTTTCTAACAGCAATAAATTAGGTATAACCAACATCTCTGCCTCCTGAGTAGCAATGCCTCCAATGGTTTGACTGAAAATGAGCAGAAAGTTACTAGTTCTTTAGTGCTTCCTAAATTTCACCATTTATAAAGCTGAAGCATTCTATTATTCTCTTTCTGAGTCTGTTATTTATGTGTCATTTCTAGAAATAAAATATGGGAGTATAAAAAAAGGGGAAAAGGACTTTGTTTCTCTCCATGTCCCAGTTATCAAGTCTTGCTATCATTACTGAGACAGACAAATGCAATATTTATATCCATTATTTTCAGTTTATTCCTTTAAGAAAACTTTAGTAATTTATTCTATCACAATTCTTGAGGCTAAAAGTCCAAAATCAAGATGTCAGTGGGGCCATGCTCCCTCTGACACTCTGGGTAGAATCCTTCTTGCCTCTTCCTAGCTTCTGGTGGTGGCTAGCAGTCCTTGGCTTGCAGCTGCATCACTCCAATCTCTGCCTGCATCATCACTTGGAGTTCTTCCTCAGTGTCTTCATATGATCCTCCTATGAGGACACCAGTAACATTACATTAAGGGCCCACCCTACTCCAGTATGACCTCATCTTAATTAATTAGATCTACAACAACCCTTTATCCAAAGAAACTCACATTCTGAGGTCCTTGGGGTTAAGAATTCAACATATTTTGGGGGAAACACAATTCAACCCATAACAGGGAGATAAGGCAAATGTGCAAATTTGTATAAATGTGCAAATGTGAGAGAAGTCAGTGTTCCTCCAGAGCCCTCCCTTCCCATTCCCTCTCTGTGTTTTCCTTAGAGGCTGCACACTTTTGCATTTCCACCAGTAGTGTGCAAGAGTTCCAATTTCTCCATATCCTCACCAATACTTGTTATGTTTGGAGATTTTTTTACAAATAATATTTATCCTGACAGGTGTGATGGGATATCTCATTGTGGTTTTACTTTTCGTTTCCTTGATAACTGGTAATGTTGAGCAAATTTTCACATGCCTGTTTGCCATTTGTATGTCTTCTTTGGAGATATGTCTATTGAAGTTCAAGTCTAGTCCATTTTTTTAAACAGATTATTAGCTTTTTTTTTTTTTGATATTGAGTTGTAGGATTTCCTTATGCATATCGAAGAGAAACTCATTATCAGATATATGGATTGTAAATATTTTCTCCCATTTCATGGTTGTCTTTTCACTCTGTTAATTATTTCCTTTGTTGTGCAGAAACTTTATTTTTATGGTCAATTTCACATTTATCTTGTTAATTTTAATTTGTTTTGTTTTGTTTTTTGAGATGGAGTCTCGCTCTGTCGCCAGGCTGGAGTGCAGTGGCGCAATCTCAGCTCACTGCAACCTCTGCCTCTCGGGTTCAAGTGATTCTCCTGCCTCGGCCTTCCGAGTAGCTGGGACTACAGGTGCCCACCACCACGCCCGGCTAATTTTTTGTATTTTTAGTTTCACCATGTTGGCCAGGATGGTCTCAATCTCTTGACATCATGATCCACCCACCTCGGCCTCCTAAAGTGCTGGGATTACAGGCGTGAGCCACCGCGCCAGGCCTAGTTTTAATTTTTGTAATTGTAAATGGACAAATTATAGTTGTATATATACTTATATGTACAAAATACACTTGTATATATAATATATAGTTATTGTATATATAATATACAGTTATAACTATATAATAATGTATAACTATATAAATAGTTATACATACATAATCTCTATACACATATATATATATACACACACACATATATAATTTGATATATGTTACCAAGTAATGTTATACAGAAACTTTATTTTTGATATAGTTCCACTTACTTGTGTTTGTTTTCATTGCCCATACTTTTGGTGTAATGTCCAAGAAATCATTGCGAAGATAATGTCACTAAGCTTGTTTCCTATTTTTTAAGGAGTTTTACAGTTCCAGATCTTACATTTAAGTCTCTTATGAACTTTGAGTTGATTTTTATGTACAGGTAAACATAAGAATCCAATTTCATTCTTTCACATGTGCTATCCAGTTTTGTCAACATCATTTATCGAAGATCCCATCCTTTTCCCATTGCGTATTTTTGGCACCATTTTCAAAGACCATCTGACCATACACGTGTGGATTTATTTCTACACCTTGTATTCCGTTCCACTAGTCTATAAATTTGTCTTTGTGCCAGAATCATACTGTCTTACTTTATCTATGTAGTATATTTTGAAATAAAAAAAAATGTAATGCTTCCAGCTTAATTCTTTTCTTTTCTCAAGTCTGACTTGTCTTTTCATGTTTTGTGGTTTCATATGGATCGCAGAATTGTTTTCCATTGGGATTTTGATAGAGATTGCATTGAATCTGTAGAGGGCCTTAGGTAGTATGGATATTTAACAATAATGAGTCTACCAATCCTGAACACATAGTCTTTTCATTTGTTTGTCTTTAATTTATTTCAGCAATGTTTTCTAGTTTTCAGTATACAAGTCTTTCAAACCCTGAGTTCGGTTTATTCCTAAGTATAGTCTTTTGGTGCTATTGTAAATGGATAATTTTTTCTAATTTCCTTTTTAGATTGTTCATTGTTAGTATATAAAATGAAAATGACTTTATTATGTAGATTTTCTATCCTGCTACCTTACTGACTTAGTTCATTGGTTCTAACAGCTTTTTGGTGAAATCCTAAAGGTTTTCTATACATAAGATTATGTCATATACTAACAGAGACAATTTATTTCTTAAATACTATTTTTTAATTGCCTGACTGCATTGGCCAGGACTACTAATACTGTGTTAAATTGAAGTGGCAAAAGGGCATTTTTGCCTTGTTCCTGATCTTACAAGTAAAAGTTTCCATTTTTCACCATTTAATATGGTATTAGCTGTCAGCTTTAATATATGCATTTATTATTTTGAGGTAATTTCCTTCTCTTCTAAATTTGTTGAGTTTTTAACCATGAAATGGTGCTGAATTTTTCCAAATTTTTTAACTGCATCTACAGAGACAATCATGTGATTTTTACTCTTTATTCTGTTAATGTGGTATAATGCAGTTGAGTTTAATATGTTGAACAATACTTGAATCGTAGATAAGTCACTTTTGTCATGGAATATGATCCTTTCAATGTCCTGTTGAATTCACTTTGTTAATATTTTGTTGAGAATTTTTTCATCTGTGATTATCAGCAATATTGGCCTGTGGTTTTCTTGTGTTGCCTTTGTCTGACTTTGGTATTAGGGTAATGCTAGCCTTATAAAATGTGTTTGAAAGTGTGTCCTTCTCTTTACATTTTTGGAAGACTTTGAGAAGAATTGACATTAATTCTTCTTTAAAAGTTTGGTAGAATTCACCAGTGAAATCATCTGATCCTTGACTTTTTTTTACTGGGAGGTTTTTGATTACTGATTCACTCCTCTTACTAGTCATAGGTCTGTTCTGCCTTTCTATCTCTTCATAATTTAGTCTTGGCAGGTTGTATATTTTTAGAAATTTATCAATTTTTCCTAGATTATCCAGTTTGTTGGTATATAATTCTTTATAGAAGTCTCTTATGACTGTTTTTATTTCTCTAGTATCAGTGTTAATGTTTCCTTGATCATTTCTAATTTTATTTATTTACAGCTCTCTCTTTTTTAAATCTAGCTAAGGGTTTATCAATTTTGTGTATCTTTCAAAAAACTAACTCTTGCTTTTATTAACTTTTTCTATTGTTTTCTATTTTTTACTTTATTTATGTCCCAATTTTTATTTTATTGATTCTACTAACCTTGGGCTTACTTTGTTCTTTTTCTACTTTCTTGTATGTAAAAGTAGGTTGTTTATTTAACATTTTTTCTTTTGTAATATAGATATTTATTGCAATAAACTTCACCTTAATACTCTGTTTATCATATCACGTAAGGCTTGTTATATTGTGCTTTCATTTTTGTTTGTCTCAAAGTATTATCTAATTTATCTTTTCACCTCTTTTATGACCCAGCAGTTGTTCAAGAGTATGTTCTTTATGGGTACATGTCTACATATTTGTGAATTTTCCATTTTTCCTTCTGCTGTTAATTTCCAGTTTCACTCAATTATGGTTAGTAAAAACAAAAACATGGTATGATTTCAATCTTCTTATTAAACTATCATATTTACCCTGAAACTATAATATATACAACACATCAATAATAAATAAATAAACTTCAAGACTTGTTTTATGGGAGGAGGTGGAGCAAGATGGCTGTTTAGACGCTTCCATCTCACAGGAAAACAAAATTGAAAAACTATTCACACAAAAATGTACCTTCATGAGAACCAAAAAGCAATTGACTGATCACAGTATCTGGCTGTAACTTCATATTACAGAAGCAGACTCTGAAAAGGGTAAAAAAGACAGTCCTGAATCGGCAATGCCACCCCTTCTGATTCCCGTAGCTATGGCTGTGTGGTGTGGAGAGAGAATCTGTGCACTCAGGGGAGGAAGAGTGCAGTGATTGTGGGACCTTGCAATTGGAACTCAGTGCTGCCCTGTCACAGCAGAAAGCAACACCAGGCAGAACTCAGCTGGCATCCACAGAGGGAGCATTTAGACCAGCCCTAGCCAAAGGGAACTACCCTTCCCAGATGTCAGAACCCAAGTTCTGGCAAGCCTTTCCACTGCAAGCTAAAATGATCTGAGGTTCTGTATAAACTTGACAGGCAGTCTGTACCACAAAGACTGCAGCTCCTAGGCAAACACTGGTGCTGTGCTGGGCTTGAAGCCAGTGAACATGGAGAGCATGCATCCTACTGAGACACCAGCTGGGAGTGCCAAGAGAGTGCTTGTACCACCTCTCCCCCAACCCAGGCAGTGCAGCTTGCAGCTACCGGAGGCACTCCTTCTTTAAGCTTGAGGAGAGAAGAGGGAAGAATAAAGAAGACATTGTCTTGCAACTTGGATACCAGCTCAGCCACAGTAGGACAGGACAACAGGCAGAGTCCTGAGACCCCCATTTCGGGACCTAGCTCTTTTTCCTGGGCCAGAAGGAAACCCACGGTCTTGAAAGGAAGGAACCAGTCCTGGCAGGATTCATCACCTGCAGATTAAGAGCCTTGGGCCCTGAATAGTCAACATTGGTAGTCAAGTAGTACTCACATGGGCCTTGGAAGAGACTGAGAGACAGGTTAGCTACAGGTGTGATCCAGCACATTTACAGATGTGCTGGCAATGAGAAGAGACTCCTTCAGTCTGAGAAAAGGAGAGGGAAGAGTAAAGGGGACTTTGTCTTGCAGCATAGGCATCAGATTGGCCACAGTACAGTAGATTACCAAGTGGGTTCTTAGGGTGCCCAGTTCCAGGCCTTGGTGCTTGGATGGCATTTCTAGACCTGCACTGGGCCAGAGGGAAGCCTGCTACCCTAAACAGAGAGTCTGGCCTGAGCATTCACCATAAGCTAACTGAAAAGCCCTTGGGCCTTGAATGAAAACTGGCAGTGGCCAGGCCCCACATGCCATGGGAGTGGAGGGGTCGTGGCCATGAAGAGAGACTCCTCTGACTGTGAAAATTTGGCAGGAAGAGTAGAAAGGACTTTGTCTTGTGGCTTGGGTGACAGTTCGACTGCTGTAGATTAGAGCACCAGGTAGATTTCTAAGATTTCTGACTCCAAGACCTGGCTCTCAGACAGGATGCTTGGACCTGACTGGGGCCAAGAGGAACTCACTGGCCTGAAGGCAAGGACACAAGCATGGCTGGCTTTACCATCTGCTAATTGTAGAGTCCCAGGTCCTTGAATAAGCATATGCAATAGCCAGTCAGTGGTTACCCTGAGCCTTGTGAGACACTCAAGGCTGTGTTGGCTTGAAGTCTGACCCAGCACAGTTCCAGGGATGGTGGCCATAGGGGTGTTGCATCACCACTTCCCCAAGTTCAGGCAGCTCAGAACAGACAGACTCTAATTGTTTGGGAGAAATTAAGGGAAGAGAACAAGAGTCTGTGTCCAGTAATCCAGAGAATTCTTAGAGATCTTATCCAAGATCATCAAGGGAGTACCTCTACAAGTTTGCTAACACCACAGCATTCCTGGGCTTGGGGTGCCCCCTAATACAGACACTGCTGTAGTGACAAAAAAATTAGATCACAACACCCAAGTCCCTTCAAACGCCTGGAAAGCCTTCCCAAGAGGGATGAGTACAAATAAGCTGAGACTGTAAAGGCTACAATGCCCAGATACTGACAAACATTCACAAGCATCAAGATCATCTAGGAAAACATGACCTTACAAAACAAACTAAATAAATCATCAATGACCAATTCCAGAGCAACAGAAATATGTGAACATTGAGACAGATAATTCAAATAGCTTGTTTTGAGGAAACTCAACAAAACTCAAGATAACACAGACAAGAAATTCAGATTCTTATCAGATAAACTTAGCAAAGAGATTGAAATAATTAACAAGACTCAAACAGAAATTCTACAGTTGAAAAATGCAATTGACATCCTAAAGAATACATCAGAGTCTATTAAAAGCATAATTGATCAAGCAGAAGAAAGAATTAATAAGATTGAAGACAGGCTACTTCTGAAAATATACAATTAAAGAAGATAAAAAGAATAAGAGCATGAAACACGCCTACAGGATCTAGAAAATAGCTTCAAAAGGACAAATCTAAGAGTTATTGGCCCTAAAGAGGAGGTCAAGAAAGAGATAGAGGTAGAAAGGTTATTCGAAGGAATAATAACAGAGAACTTTCCAAACCAAAAGAAAGATATCAACATTCAAGTACAATAAGTTTATAGAACACAAAGCAGATTTAATCCAAACAGGCTACCTCAAGACATGTAATAATCAAACTTCCAAAAGACAAGGATAAAGAAATGATCTCAAAATCAGCAAGAGAAAAAAAAAGAACAAATAACATAAAATGGAGCTCCAATATGGCTGGCAAAAGACTTTTCAATGGAAATTTTACAGGCCAGAAGGCAATAACATGACATATTGAAAGTGCTAAGTGAAGAGAACTTTTATCCCAGAATAGTATATCCAGTGAAAACATCCTTCAAACATGAAGGAGACATAAAGACTTTCTGAGACAAGCAAAAGCTAAGGGATTTCATCAAAACCAGACCTATCCAACAGGAAATACTAAAGTGAGTTCTTCAGTCTGAAAGTAAAGGACATTAATGAGCAAGGTGAAATCGCCTGAAGGTAAAAAACTCATTGACAATAGTCAGTCCACAGAAAAACACAGAATATTATAATACTGTAATAATTATGGTATGTAAACTACTCATATCTTGAGTAGATGAACTGATAAAAAATTATAAGTGCAACAAATTTTCAAGACATAGAGGGTACAATAAGATATAAATAGAAACAACAAAAAGTTAATGAGCAGGGGAGAAGAAGTTAAAGTGTAGGCTTTTATTAGTTTTTACTTGTTGGATAATTAATTTATTATGCAATCAGTATAAAATAATGTCATCAGTTTAAAATAGTGTGTTATAAGATAGTATTTGCAAACCTCATGGTAACCTTAAAAATCATACAACAGATGCAAGAAAAAATTTAAAGCAATAAATTAAAATATACCACCAGAGAAAATCATCTTTACTGAAAGGATCCAGAAAGAAAGGAAAGAGGAAGAGAACACCACAAAACAACCAGAAAACAAATAATGAAATGGCAGGAGTAAGCCCTTACTTATCAATAATAACATTGAAAGTAAATGGACTAAACTCTCCAGTCAGGACATATGGTGGGTGAATGGATAAATAAAACCCCAATGATCTGTTTCCCACAAGAAACACATTTCACCTGTACACACATAGACTAAAACAAAGAGATGGGAAAAGATATTCCACGCAAATGAAACCAAAAAAAAGCAGAAGTAGCCTGATTCATATTAGACAAAATAGATTTCCAGACAAAAAATATGAAAAGAGCCAAGGAACATCATTCTATAATGATAAAGCCGTTCATTCAGCAGGAGAATATAGCCACTGTAAATATATATGCACCCAACACTGGAGCACCTACATATGTAAAGCAAATATTATTAGGGCTAAAGAGAGAGATAGAGCCCAACACAGTAATAACTGGAGGCTTCAACACCCCACTTTCAGCATTAGACAGATCACTCAGACAGAAAATCAACAATGAAACATTGGACTTCATCTACACTATAAAACAAATTGATCTAATGTATATTTCAGAACATTTTATCTAATGGCTGCAGAATACACATTCTTCTCCTCAGCACATGGAACATTCTCAAGGATAGACCATATGTTAGGCCACACAAAAAATCAAAATTTGAAACTATATCAAGGATTTTTTCTGGCCACAGTGGAATAAAACTAAAAATCAATAACAAGAGGAATTTGGGAAACTATACAGACACATCAAAATTTAAAAATATGCCCCTGAGGCTGGGCGGGGTGGCTCACGCCTGTAATCCCAGCACTTTGGGAGGCCGAGGCAGGTGGATCACGAGGTCAGGAGATCCAGACCATCCTGGCTAACACGGTGAAACCCCGTCTCTAATAAAAATACAAAAAAATTAGTGGGGCATGGTGGCTGGCGCCTGTAGTCCCAGCTACTCGGGAGGCTGAGGCAGGAGAATGGCATGAACCCAGGAGGCAGAGCTTGCAGTTAGCCGAGATCATGCCACTGCACTCCAGCCTGGGTGACAGAGCAAGACTCCATCTCAAAAAAAAAAAAAAAAAAAAAAGCCCCTAAATGACCAGTGGGTCAATGAAGAAATTAGAAGGAAATTGAATAATTTCTCAAAGCAAATGATAATGGAAACACAATATACCAAAATGTATGAGATATGGTTACAGTAATACTAACGGTAGTTTATAATTATAAGCACCTACATCAAAAAAGTAGAAAAACTCAAATAAACAATCCAACAATGCATCTCAAAGAAGTAGAAAATCAAGAGTAAACCAAAACCAAAATTAATAGAAGAAAAGAAATCATAAACATCAGGACAAAAATAAATACAATTTAAATGAATACAATACAAAAGACAAATAAAATAAAAAATATGGTGTTTTGAAAAGATAAACAAAATTGACCAAATTTTAGCCAGACTTACTATTGAAAAAAGGGAGAATACCCAAATGAATAAAATCAGAGATAAAAAAGGAGACATTGCAACAGATACTACAGCATTTCAAAGAATCATTAGAAGCTACTATAAGGAACTCTATGCCAATAAATTGGAAAACCTAGAAGAAATGAATAAATTACTAGATACGTACAAGCTACCAGGATTGAACCATGAAGAAATCCAAAACTTGAACAGAACAATAAGTAATAAGATTGCAGCCATAATAAAAAGTCTTCCAGCAAAGAAAATCCTGGGAACCAGTGGATATATTGCTGAATTTTATCAAATATTTCAAGAATAATACCAATCCTACTCAAGCTATTCTGAAAAATAGAAGAGGAAGAGGAATACAACCAAACTCATTCTACAAGGCCAATATTACCCAGACATCAGAAGTGGACAAACACACATCAAAAACAGAAAACTATAGGCAATATTCCTGATGAACACTGATGCAAAAATCCTTAACAAAATACTAGCAATGGAATTCAACAATACATGAAAAGATCATTCATCATGACCAAATGGAAACACTGGCATGAAAGAATGGTTCAATATATGCAAACCAATCAGTGCAATCAATACATCATATAAACAGAATAAAGGAAAAAAACCATATGATTCTTTTAACTGATGCTGAAAAGCATTTGATAAAATTCAACATCCCTTTATGAAAAAAACCCACAAAAACAATGAGCATAGAATAAACATAACATGATAAAAGTCATATATACTACAGACCCATAGCTAGTATCATACCGAATGGGAAAAAAACTGAAAGTTTTTCTTCCTAGGTCTTGAATATGACAAGTATGCCCACTTTCACCACTGTTCTTCAACATAGTACTGAAAGTCCTAGCTAGAGCAATCAGATATGATTCAGAAATAAAGTATATTCAAATTGAAAAGAAATAAGTCAAATTATTCTTGTTTGTGGATTATATAATCTCATATTTGGAAAAACCTAAAGAATCCACCAAAAATCTATTAGAATTGATGAACAAACTCAGTAAAGTTCTAGGATATGAAATCAACATACAAAAATCAGTAGCATTTCTCTGTGCCAGCAGTTAACAATCTGAAAAATAAACCAAAAAAGTAATCCCATTTAAAATAAAATAAATAAAACATCTGGGAATTAACCAAAGAAATAAGTCTTTACATAAAAACCATAAAATATTGATGAGATAAATTAAAGGGAACACATACAAAAAAGGAAAGATATTTTATGTTTATGGACTGGTAGAATCAATATTGTTGAAAGGTCTATACTACCCAAAGCAATCTATGGATTCAGTGCAAACCCTATGAAAATACCACTGACATTCATCACAGAAATAGACAAAAAAATCCTAAAATTTATATGGAACTACATAAGACCCAGAATAGCCAAAGCTATCCTAAGCAAAAAAGAACAAAACTGGTGGGCATTAACCTGACTTTAAATTATACTACAGAGCGGTAGTAACCAAAACAGTATGTTACTGGCATAAAAACAGATACGTAGACCAATGGAACAGAATAAAGATGCAGAAACAAATCCATACATCTATAGTGAACTCATTTTCAACAAAGTTGCCAAGAATACACATTGAGGAAAGGACAATCTCTCAATAACTGGTACTTATAAGGTGGATATCCGTATGCAGAAGAATGAAACTAGGCCCTCTCTCTTGCCTTATAAAAAATCAAATAAAAATGGATTAAAGATTAAAGATACGACCTCAACCTATGAAACTACTAAAAGAAAACATTGTGGAATATCTCCAGAAGATTGAACTGGGCAATGATTTCTTGAGTAATGCCCAAAAAGCACAGACAATCCAAGCAAAAACGGACAGATGGGATCACATCAAGTTAAAAAGCTTCTGCACAGCAAAGGAAACAATCAATGAAGAGGCAACCCATAGAATGGGAGAAAATATTTGCCAATTATGCATCTGACAAAGGATTAATAACCAGAGTATATAAGTAGCTCAAACTCTAAAGAAAAATGTCTAATAATCTGAGTTTAAAATGGGCAAAATATCTGAATAGACATTTCTCAAAAGAAAACATACAAATGGCAATCAGGTGTATGAAAATGTGATCAATATCACTGATCATCAGAGAAACGCAAACCAAAACTACAATGAGATGTCATCTCACCCCAGTTAAAATTGCTTTTATCTGCTTAAGGAGATTTTGGGTTGAGATGATGAGGATTCCTAAATATGCAATCATGTCATCTGCAAAGAGAGTCAATTTGACTTCCTCTCTTCCTATTTGAATGCCATTTATTTCTTTCTCTTGCCTGATTGCCCTGGCCAGAAATTCCAATACTACGTTGAGTAGGAGTGGTAAGAGAGGGCATCCTTGTCTTGTGCTGGTTTTCAAAGGGAATGCTTCCAGCTTTTGCCCATTCATTATGATATTGGCTGTGGGTTTGTCATAAATAGCTCTTATTATTTTGAGATACATTCCATTAATATCTAGTTTATTGAGAGTTTTTAGCATGAAGTGCTGTTGAATATTATCAAAGGCCTTTTCTGCATCTCTTGAGATAATCATGTGGTTTTTGTCATTGGTTCTGTTTATGTAATGGATTACGTTGGTTGATTTGTGTATGTTGAAACAGCCTTGCATCCCAGGGATGAAGATGATTTGATCGTGGTGGATCAGCTTTTTGATGTGCTGCTGGATTCAATTTGCCAGTATTTTACTGAGGATTTTCACATCGATATTCATCAGGGATATTGGCCTGAAATTTTCTTTTTTTGTTGTTTTTGTTGCTGTGTTTCTTTTTGTTGTTGTTGTGTCTCTGCCAGCTTATGGTATCAAGATGATGAGTAAGGGAGGAGTCCCTCCCTTACTATTCCCCTATTCCATTGTTTGGAATAGTTTCAGACGGAATGGCACCAATTCCTCTTTGTACCTCTGGTAGAATTTGGCTGTGAATCCGTCTAGTCCTAGGCCTTTTTTGGTTGGTAGCCTTTTAATTACTGCTCCAATTTCAGAACTTCTTATTGGTCTATTCAGGGATTCAAATTCTTCCTGGTTTAGTCGTGGGAGGGTGTATGTGTCCAGGAATTTATCCATTCCTTCTAAATTTTCTAGTTTATTTGCATAGAGGTGTTTATAGTATTCTCTGATGGTATTTCTGTGGGATCAGTGGTGATATCCCCTAATCAATGTGCAAAAATTACAAACATTCCTATACATCAATAATAGACACACAGAGAGCCAAATCATGAGTGAACTCCCAATCACGATTGGTACAAAGAGAATAAAGTACCTAGAAATACAACTTACAAGGGATGGGAAGGACCTCTTCAAGGAGAACAACAAATCACTGATCAAGGAAATAGCAAGGGCACAACAAATGAAAAAACACTCCATGCTCACGGATAGGGGAAACAATATCGTGAAAATGGGCATACTGCCCAAAGTAATTTATACATTCAATGCTATCTCCATCAAGCTACCATTGACTTTCCTCACAAAATTAGAAAAAATTACTTTAAATTTCTTATGGAACCAAAAAAGAGCTCATATAGCCAAGACAATCCTAAGCAAAAAGAACAAAGCTGGTGGCATCACGCACGCTACCTAACTTCAAACTATACTACAAGGCTATAGTAACCAAAATAGCATGGTACTGGTACCAAAACGGATATATAGACCAGTGGAACAGAAAAGATGCCTCAGAAATAATACCACACATCTACAATCATCTGATCTTTGAGAAACCTGACAAAAACAAGGGCAAAAGGATTCCCTGTTTAATAAATGGTGTTGGGAAAACTGGCTAGCCATATGCAGAAAACTGAAACTGGACCCTTTCCTTACACCTTATACAAAAATTAACTTAAGATGGATTAAAGACTTCAATGTAAGACCTAAAACCATAAATATCCTAGAAGAAAACCTAGGCAATACCATTCAGGACATAGGCATGGGCAAAGACTTCATGACTAAAACATCAAAAACAATTGCAACAAAAGCCAGAATTGACAGAAGAGATCTAATTAAACTAAAGAGCTTCTGCACAGCAAAAGAAACTATCATCAGACTGAACAGGCAACCTGCAGAAGGGGAAAAAATTTTTGCAATCTATCCATCTGACAAAGGGCTAATAACCAGAATCTAAAAGGAACTTTAAAAAATTTACAAGAAAAAAAAACAACCTCATCAAAAAGTACATGAAGGATATGAACAGACACTTCTCAAAAGAAGACATTTATGTAGCCAGCAAACATGAAAAAAAGCTCATCATCACTGGTCATTAGAGAAATGCAAATCAAAACCACAATGAGATAGTATCTTATGCCAGTTAGAATGGCGATCATTAAAAAGTTAGGAAACCACAGATGCTGGAGAGGATGTAGAGAAATAGGAACGCTTTTACACTGTTGGTGGCAGTGGAAATTAGTTCACCCATTGTGGAGGACCGTGTGGTGATTCCGCAAGGATCCAGAAATACCACTTGACCCAGCATTCTCATTACTGGGTATATACCCAAAGGATTACAAATCATGCTACTATAAAGACAAATGCACACATATGTTTACTGCAGCACTATTCACAATAGCAAAGACTTGGAACCAACACAAATGCCCATAAATGATAGACTGGATAAAGAAAATGTGGCACATATACACCATGGAATACTATGGAGCCATAAAAAGAATGAGTTCATGTCCTTTGCAGGCACATGGATGAAGCTGGAAACCATCTTTCTCAGCAGACTAACACAGGAACAGAAAACCAGACATCACATGTTCTCACTCATAAGTGGGAGCTGAACAATGAGAACACAGGGACACAGGGAGGGGAACATGACACACTGGGGCCTGTAGGGGGGTGGGGGGCATGGGGAGAGATAGCATTAGTAGAAATACGTAATGAAGATGATGGGTTGATGGGTGTAGAAAACCACCATGGCACATGTATACCTATGCAACAAACCTGCACGTTCTGCACATGTATCCCAAAACTTAAAGTATAATAAAAAATTTGCTTTTATCCAAAAGACAGGCTATAAAATGTGCTGGTGATGATGTAGAGAAAATGGAACCCTTGTACACTGTTAGTGGGAATGTACAATAGTACAGCCAGTATGGAGAACAGTTTGGACATTCCTCAAAAAACTAAAAATAGAGCTGCCATATGAGTTAGCAATCCTACTGCTGGGTATATACTTAAAAGAAAGAAAATCAGTATATAGAAGATTTATCTGTACTTTCATGTTAACTGCAGTACCATTCACAATAGTCAAAATCTGGAAGCAACCTAAGTGTCCATTGAAAAATGAATGGATATAGCAAATGTGGTACATATTTACAATGAAGTACTCTTCAGCCAAAAGAAAGAATGAGATTCTGTCATTTCCAACAACATAGGTGAAACTGGAGGTCATTATGTTTAACATAATGTATACTTAAACATGAACATAATGCATGTTTAAACACAAACATATGATCAACATAACTTAATAAGTGAGGCACAGAAAGACAAACTTCACATATTCTCACTAATTTGTGGGATCCAGCAATTACAATAATTAAACTCATGGAGATTGAGAGTAAAAGGATAGTTACCGGAAGCTGAGAAAGCTGGTGGGGGACATGAGGAGGAAGTGGAGATGGTTAATGGGTAAAAATAATAGAGTTTGCTAGTATGAATGAAACCTAGCATTTGATATTAATAGTCATATCACGGTGATTACAGTCTACAATAATTTAGTATATATTTAAAAATAACTGCAAAGAGTATAATTGGATTGTTTGTAACACAAAGAATAGATAAATGTGTGAGATTATGGATACTTCTTCTACCCATTACTTATTGAATGCCTTTAAAAATATCTCATGTACCTGATATACGTATATACCTACCATGTACCCAGAAAAAATAAAAATTAAAAAAAAAAACTTGTTATGTGACTTAACATGTTATGTATCCAGGAGAGAGTTCTGTGTGCTCTTGATAAAATGTTTATTCTGCTGCTGTTGGATAAGATGTTTTGTATATATTTGTAACGTCCATAGTGTTGTTCAAGCTCTCTGCTTCTTTATTGATATTTCTGTCTGAATGTTTTATCCTGTATTGCAACTGGGGTATTAAAGATTCCTACCATTATTTAATATTATATTTGTATTTCTCCCCTTGGTTGTATTATATTCTTTTTATGAATTCACACATTTTCATTATATTGTCCTTCTTTGTATGTTGTGACAGTTTTTGACATAAAGTCTATTTTATCTAAGTATAGGCACCCTTACTCTCTTTTGGTTACCATTTGTATGAAATATCATCTATTCTTTCACTTTCAGCCTATGTGTGTCCTTAAATCTAAAATAATTTTCTTAAAAATAGCATATAATTGTGTTTTTCAAATCCATTCAATTGAAGATTTTAATCCATTTACACTTTAAGTATGTATTAATGAGACATAATTTCTTATTGCCATTTTGTTGTTTTCTGTTATTCTTGTAGTTCATTTGTTTTTTTTTTTTCCTCTTGCTATCTTCCTCTGTCTTTCGTTCATTTTTCCCATTCATACGCTTTCACTTTTGTGTAATTTCTATAGGAATTTTTGTTTGAGTATGGTTACTTTAGGGCTTACATAAAATATCTTATAGTTATAATAAGTCTATTTTAAGCTGATAACAACTTAAATTCAATTACATTTTAACACTCTATACTTTAACCTCTTATAAACATACAATTTTTGTTATTGTCCCAATTTATATCTATGCAATTCATATCTATGCATTATATCTATCGTGTATCTTTTAACATATTTTCAGTTATAGCTGGTTTTGTCCAATAATTTTTAGAATTAAAAGTAATTTATGTAATTTACACACCTCAATTACAATAATATAGTAGTCTGCATTTGCCTGTATATTTAACTCTACTATTAAGTTTTATATTTTATTACACTATTACATTGCTGTTTAGTGTCATTTTATTTTAACCTGAAGAACTCCCTTTAAAATTTCTTGTAAGGCAGGTCTAGTGGTGATTAAATCTCTCAATTTTTATTTTTCTGGGAAAATCTTTATCTCTTCTTCATTTTTAAAGGACAGTTTTGCTGGGTATGGTGTTCTTGGATAACACTGATTTTTTTCTCAGTTCTTTGAATATATCATTCCACTCCATTCTGGCTTGCAATGTTTCTGCTGAAAAATTAGTTGCTAGTTTAACAGAGCTTACCTTGTATGTGGAAAGCTGCTTTTCTCTTGCTGCTTTCAAAATTCTCTCTTTGACTTTTGGCAATTTGAATATAATGTGTCTCAGTGTAGATTCTTTCAGTTTGTCTTATCTGGTGTGACTTGGGCTTCTTGGACTTCATTGTCCATTTCCATTCCCAGATTTTGGAAGTTTTTAGCCATTATTTCTTTGAATAAGCTTTCTATTCATTTTTCTTTCTCTTCTAGTTTCTGGGACTTCCATAGTGTGTATATTGATCAGCTTCATGGAGTCCCATATATCCATTAAGGTTTCTCTTCTCTTTTTTAATTCTTTTTTATTTTTTCTCTTGACTGAGTCACTTCCAATGACCTGTCTTTGGATTTACTGATCCTTTCTTTTGCTTGATCTAGTCTGGTTTTGAACCCCTCTAGTAAATTTTCAGTTTAATTATTGTGTTCTTCAGCTCCATGATTTCTGTTTGGCAATTCTTACCATTTTATCTCTTTGTTGAGATTGTCACTTTGTTTATGTATTGTCTCATGACTTGACTGAACATCTTTGTGACAGCTACTTTGAATTCTGTATCAGGCAAAGTGTATGTTTCATTAGGGTTTGTTTCTGAAGATTTATATTGTTCCTTTATCTGGAACATGTTCACCTGGTTATTCATTTTCCTTGATGCTGTGTTGATATTTCTGCATTAGAATAGTCACAACCTGGACTCGTTCAGAAGACCCTATCAATCAGTACAGCCAGAGATTCTGGGTCCTCTACCAATTCTTTCCCCCTCTAGAGAGAAGCAGATTGCTGTATTTTTGTTCTGCTCACTTTGTGCTGAGCCATAGGAGGGGAGAAATTGTTTCTATCAATTCAACGTACTGCATTCATTCTCTCCTAGGTAGCTAGACTGGACTGGACCCATCAGAGCTCCAAGACTGGAAAGACAGATGCCAATTTTGTGGGGAGCCTCAGAGGAGTTGGGATGTTGGACACATGAGCCAACCTGATCTTTGGCTGGAGAAGAAACTGGGAGCTAAAGGATCTCTTCCTGATTACGTGGTGCTGTGGAGGAAGTAGTGATTCTGGTGAGAAGGTATTTTCAATCTATCAGTTCTGTGCATCTGGTTTCACTTTTTCCCAGAATATAGGAGCCTTTCTATTTGTTTCTGTGTTTCTCACAAAGGGAATTTGTTCATAATGCTCAATCACTGCATTTTGGAGACTGATTAGGTCTCACTGTTTATTCTTTTTACCACTCACTGGGACTAGAAAACTGCTAATTGCATAATATATTCTAAACAGGAATGACATGAAACAGAATTTCTAAGAAAGTGATGGAATGTTTCATCAGAACCATTGAGCTTCTGGTGAAGTAGTTAATTATTTTATTTTTAATAACTTTTAGTAATTTAACAACAGCCTGGCTGCTAACAGCATTCAGACTAGTTGGGATATCAACTTTTACTAGAAGAAAATAATGTCCGTGAAACTTTTTTAACTCTTGAAACAATTAATTAAGAAATATTCTCACTTCAGACAAATTCAGAAAAGGGATATTCTTCTACTGATCAAACTATGACTTATCAGAGCCTGAGGATGTTTCCAACAGAGCTTCTGGTCCTAGCTTATCAAGGGTATACCTTACATGCTGCTGGTTATGATGTGCTATTTCTTCAGGAGTCTTGGATAGGGTACCTTCTCCCTTCTCCTCTTCACCCCACTAGTTTAAAAACAAAAAGAAAGAAAACGGACAAAAAATGTTTTTCTCGCCCACTGGGCCAATAATTGTATTTTTCTTTATAAGAAAAAAAGGTTTTGTTTCCCAATTGAAAGAATACCTAATCCAATATTGTTGCAAGGTAGACCGTATCTCTTTACCTGAGAAGTGATTTTAATATCCAGCTGGCCAACTAGCATAAGAGTAACCATTTTGAAAGAATGGATGTGATAGTGTGGAAAAAATAAGAAATAAATAGAAAGTTAGGAAGCATTTACGAGAGATTTTGGACATCCCACAAAGTAACCCAGGATCTGACCTCTAAAGGGTCAATTCATGAAGTAAAGTACAGCAACAATGGCCTCATATTTGTTCACAACTTCTTGTACGAATGGCCTTTTGCAGTGAATGGCCTTTGCCACCCCTTCCATCAAGAGGTGCAATCTTTATCTCTAACTTTTAAATTTGATCTTGGTTTTATGTCTTACTTTACTCAATGGGACATTAGCCAACATGCCAGAAGCAAAGTCTTCAAAAGTGTGCATTGCGGCTTGCCCTCTCCTACTTGCCTCTAGGACTTCTACTGTCACCAAATAATGAGGATCTACCTTGAGAGCACACAGCTTCCCCAGCTGAGTTTTCAAACATATGAGTCCACTGTATCCTCAGCTCAACTATCACAGCCTAGAACATCCAGCCAACCTACAGAATCATGATAAATGACAAATACATATTGTTTTAAATGTCTGAGTTGTACTTTAACATAACAAAAGCTATTACTATCTGGATGTTACATTTACTAAGAAACCACTAGTGAGTTCCTAACAGAGAAATTACAAAAATTAACTGGAGGAGGGATTTCCAAGAAAACATTCTTTCATAATGGTAAATCTCAAATCTAACATGTTGGCTGGAATTTAAAAGAAGTTTTTAAAGGTAATTTAGAGACTCATAGAAAATCAATCTCTCTGTAGGACTAAAAATATCTCAGCTTTGAACACTTTTTTCATTCTTATTAGACTTGAAAGCATAACCATTGATCTAGCAAGAGCAATTTGCTAATAATTAGGCTTGTGAGGGAGGCTTAGGATTGTTACCTATAGGGTGGGTAACAGGCCCTTTAATTCACAGAAGCCACTGCCCTAACAAGAAGAAAAAAGATGTAGAAGAATCACCAACCACAATGGTTCTGTTCACTAAAATCCAAGTGATATTGAACTCTGCCACAGAAAAATGACTTTCAAGCCCAAATTTGCCCTATTCTATACTTGATGCCATCTGCAAAGAAGAAATAAACTTCAAGTCTATTTACCCATTCCCAAGACATTCTGCAATACTTTTATATTCCTTTCACAAGGCAATTATTATTATTATTATTATTATTATTTTGCCTTTCAGGAATATGAATATTCACTCTCCGATTAGACTTGAAGCTCCATGAGGGCAGGGTCTGTGTTTACTTCACTATTTTATCTCCCACAGCACAAGGCCCAGGGAAGGTGCTCAATTATTCTTTGTAACATAAATGAGTGGAAGAGGGCAGGCTTTATGTAGTGCAGGGACTAATGTCCAACTGACTGTCCCCATGGCCTGAACAGAGAGCTTGGCCAATAAATGGCCACTCTTTTGTATAAAATAAGGTTTACATTATGAAAAGTCACATAATTCATAAAATCTGTCATTTTTTTTCATGAGGGTAGCTAAACTTTCACCAGAAATCATGACACATCTCTGATATGTTTTCCTTTGAGTGATTTCCCTGTATTATTTGTTATTTGAATCTCTTCTTTTGTTTGAGATGTCAGAAAGCCTGAGCAAGAGACAGACTATGATCATCTCTGGGGAAAAAATTCTCTTCCCCAGAGAGCGTCTGCCAAATAAATTACATCTCAAGGTGAATTTTTTTTTTGGAAATGCAAACTGATTTAAAATAGTGTTGTTTTGTGTTCAGTTGGTTAATTTAGTAAGACTATTTTTACTGTTTCAGTTGCTTATATCCCCAAAAAGAACAAAAAACTACCCTTTCCCTGATAAAATATTTACCATTTTATATCTTAAAAGAAAGAATCAAATCAATTCTATTTTGAAAGGCACATTAAAAATGTAAGCACAAAGCACAGGGCACATTTCACAGAAGATTGGAACTGCTAAAAAATTTTTTTTTCATCTACCAGAAGAAATCAAATGAAGCCCATTTGCCTCTGGGGTTTTAAACATCATTACAATTTATCTTAATAATGAAGTTAAAATTAACTGAAAGAAGACAAAATGGAAAGAAAAACCCTCACGTTGTTAACATGGGTTATTCACGGGAAAATAGATAAAAGTAATATCCCTTGGGCACACTTAAGAAAAAAATCAAAATATTCAAAACATAGGTGACCCATGATTGAAGCAGCATCTCACTCAGTCATTTCATGTTTATTGAAGCGTAAACTACTCCATAACACACATACTTTATATCCATATAGAAACATATGTTTGGAATACACACATACACACACACAATAAAAAATAAATGCAACCAAGAGAGCTTTAAAATTATATTTGAAAATATCACAAACAAAACGATCTGCTTACCATGTAATTCTGTTTCTGTCATCACATATAACTAACTGCAAGAGCTTAGTTCTGCTTCACATAAGATTCTCAAATTGTCTTTGTGGAATCTTCCTGGTGAGGAATGAAAAGACTGATGAAAAGGTCAAAGGGGGCACCTCCACTCCACAGGGGCCTCAAAATGCCTCCTTGAGCATTCTTGCTTAGATTTTCCTTCCCCTCTGAGAGAAAGAACAAAACAGGAAGAATCCTTCTTGATAAAGGACAGGGGATTTTTTTAACCAATTAAAACCTTTTCAGAAAACTAAAGCTGTCACATTGGAGATAAAATGATGGTAACAATAATGAAGAGCGGAGCCAAATTACACAATAGACGATGTCATGTATGCTTGTTTATCAGGTGGGAACACCTCTTAGTCATGCACATGCCTCTATGATAAAGTTTAGAATTCAATAACCTCTCTTCAAACCAGGACACTGTTTCAGTTTTGATTTTTTTTAAAAAACTTGCACATTTCTAGAAGAGGTATTCTAAGCTCCAAATTACAGGACTGAAAATGTTGGTTCTTTTTATTTTTATTTTTGGAGAGTGGGAGAAATAATTGATGTACTATCTTAAATTTTCTTCAGTGTTTTTGAGACAACAAATATGACTGTCCATTCCTAACAGAGAGGGATTTTTTCTCTCCCTCTCTCTCTCTCTCTTCATATACAACCATCACCCCAATCATTCAGTTTCCACCATTTCTTTCATCCATTAATTCTGATTCCCTTAAATATTTGACATTTAAAATTTATACTATGTGCAGAATGATAATGAGGTATCAAAAAGCCACAACTAGCACATTGCCTATGTTCCAAGACTTTGGCTAATCAGTAACTTGGTCATGTGGTTAATTTTAAGTACAGTTTGAGGGAACACTCAAAAAACTACATCAGCCTGCATAGATTGCTAATATATGCACAGAAGTCTTCTTCACAAAACATATAGTCACATAATAAAACTAGAGATGACATAGAGAAAATTAACATTTTGGGGGCTTGATATTTAAGGAAAGATTAAAGTGATGTAATACCTTTCCATTGAAAAGAAAGAATCATAATGAATGAGCAGTACAGAATAGAATATGTGATGAAAAGTTTTGGAATCATAGTGTTCCAGTATGTATACACAATAAATTGTGTGTCATCCTCAAGTTTAGAACAAATATGAAAGCATTTCATATCACATAGTTAAAACCTTATGGAACACAATAGATTTATTATATTCACATATAAGAAACAGCTGAGCATAATGATTAGGTGCACAGGCTCTGAAATCACAATGCTTGGATTCTAGTATCAGTTTTCTTGCAAGCTGTGTGAACTTGCACAAATTTATAATACTTCTTGACATCACTTTCATTTGTAAAACGGAGAGAATTCTACGAGTTAGGATTCAATAGGAGAGAGGAATTACATAATAACTTGAATGAGAAAATGTTAAAATAAAGAATTGACTGTACAAGGGGGTTAAAGTACAGAGGCATTGACTAATAAAAATCACAAGAACTCTAAAGAATATAGGAATTGCAGGTATAGGGAAGGCCTTAGGTCTGATATTGAGCAGCCAAAGTAACAGTTGTCCCGGGCCGAGATCCAGACCTTATGAGACAGGAAGGACACATTCATGGCTCACCAGATGGCAGACAAGTTGCTGTGGTTGGTTTGTGGAACTTGCTAAAAAGCTACCCTCTGCAACTTACCAGAAACCTACTGTCTAGAGTTGCAGAGAAAGCTGTTTACTAGGAGGTGCTCAATGAAGACACTCCACTGTAAAACTGCACAAGAGGACAGCCAGTGGCCCCAGGTGCTAAAGTGAACATGCTTCAAGAGCCTGCCTAGAGTACACTGGAATCAGGAAGGAAAAACCTTCCTCCTGCAATGCTTTTCCAATGTCCTTTATTGACAAATATTAACATCATGTCAGCTGATGAAGAAAATATATTTAAAGGGCCCCAGTTTTACAGAGCAGAAATGAAGGCTGGAGAATTGGAAGGTCTCAGAATTTGGAGCTGAGAGGCATGAATTGATAACAGGGAGATAAATAATGATAGAATTGTTGGTAGCATTATAAGCATAACAGCTCCTGTAGAGCACTTAGCACAGATTCTGTGACACAGTAAGTATATCTTTCATTCACTCAACAAATATTTAAGAAGTACTCACTAGGTTCCAGGTACTGTGTTAAGTACCAGGCATGCATCAATGAAGAAAATTGGCACAGTTCCTGTCTCAAAGAAGAGTAATATGAGCTGTTAAACTGTACCTCTTCCAACAGTTTAGATAAATAGCAGATCCATAATGTCTGTTAAGTGTGTGTGTGTGTGTGTGTGTGTGTGTCTGCCTATGTGTGTTTGTACATAGTGGTCTGATGCAATACCATATTTATTCTTTTCATGAGTTTTTCTTGTATCTGAATCCATAGAATTTGAAGGTATACATGGAAGAGGTGTGGAACAGAGTGTATTAGTGTAATACTGAAAGGATTCTCATCATAGCTTGAGGTTACTACTGCCATTAAGTTCTACCTATCTGGAACACTGAAAAAGAAAGAATAGCCAAGTAGAGAGTGGGTGAGCAGAGCAGTAGACCTATCTTAAGATAACATCATGAAAATTCTGCACAGCTTAAGAGATGTGGATTCTTCATCATTATTCATGCTTTTCTCTTAAGGCACGGATCATATCTATTAAGGATTAGAGTTAAAAATGTAAAGGAGTAATTATAAACACCACCAGGGTTATAAGTTTAAAGTCACTAAGAAAATTTAGTGCTCAGCTATAGGTCCTAACACCCGGGGATCCCTTTTAGTGTCAGATGGCATAGAATAAGAAAACTGCATCTGCAAATTGTAACTAGAAGATTAGCTATACTTTAAAATGGCATTGTAGTAGGCATCCACCAACAAATTTTTAAGGTTCTGTTATGAGGTAGACACTGTATTAAGTGTTGGAGATTAAATATTGAGCAAAAATGCAGTGTTCTCGGGTTGTGGTGGTGAGAAATGCAATTAATAAAATGATCATGCTGATGATTATAAGGAATACCATCTCAAAGGAGTAGTCAAAACACAAACATGAACCAGAGTACATCAGGGAAGGAGTCCCTGAAAAAGCGATACTCTAATCAATGAGGGAGTAGCCATTAATGAGTCAGAGATGAGAAGTGGGAGTAAGAAGAGAGGAAAACACTAAAGGGGGTGAGGGTGAGAGCAGCATGATAATAGGCCCCATGTAGAAGCCCTTAGGACATGGACAAGGAACCTATGAAAGACTCCAAAATGAGAGGGACAGACTTCTATGATGGCAGCAGAGAAACTGGCAGGGTAAAATCACAAAGAGTTGTAGGCTGAGCAGATGAATTGGTCATTATCTAAACAGAAATAGGACAAAGAAAAGCCATTGGTAGATTTTAAGTGTCTAAGTGTGGAGAATAGGATTGAGTGACACAATCAAATTTTTATTTTATAAGATATAATAACTTTGGATGCAGTATGAAGAATGGAGTGGAAAAATCCCAGAGTCGATGCACAGATTTCAAGGGAAAAGAGCATCTCAGGAAGGAGTCACCAGCCATGTCACATGCTGGGAGGGGAAATGAGATGAAGACTAAATAATGTCTATTCAATTTTATACAGTTGACTTAAATTAGAACTGTTCTGGTGGAATGGCAAGAAAAAAATGAAGATTAAAGTGGATTACAGAGTGAGTTGAAAGTAAGGAAATAAAGAAAGTGGGTACTGATAACTCTTTTAAGAACTCAGGTTAAATATTTCACTTGAGAATACTCATCACCCTGCTTACAGAAATCACTACCTGGTAACTGATTCACTTTGGAAAGATAATCTTTCATCAGTGAATGGCTGGCAGATTTGAAAAATGAGACAAAGATTTTTAATTTCCATCTTCTCAAATTGACTCTAATTTATTTTCAGTATTTTTTATTAAACCCTGAGACAACAGTCCTGAAGATCATCTCACCTCCATGAATGAAATAAATTAAGATTGTAAGTGCCTTGGAGATAGGAACTATATCTTCACATACTTTATGCTGAATAAATCCTTGTTGAATTGTTGAAGAATACAAAAGCTGATGCAAAACTACAAAATTGTGTTATAAAATCTTCAGTTCAAAAGGGCCTTCAAATCCATCCAGTAAATTATTACTCTGACCCAGCAATGAATGTATGATCTAAAAGAAAGTGTGCAAAGTTTTAGCAATAACTAATAATGTCATAAAGATCTCAGTACTTGGAATGTTCTCACATAACCCATAAGTGTCTTTATTAACAGGGAGCTTCTCCTCTCCTCAAATATTAACATTCCCTCCTCATTCTTTGCTGTTGATGCCTTTTCATTTATTTGGGAAAAAAATGACCAAAGAAAACAACTCCGTTTTCCAATATCACATCTAGGAACCAAGAGGGATCTGTCTCCATCGATTCTGTTTACCTCCTATTTGAATTGTGGACCTGTCCATCCTCCTTTCCAAGGCCAATTCTTGTAATTGTGCCTGTAGTCTCATTCCCTCTCACACACAAGGAATGCATCTTTTCTCCCTCCTGCATGATTATTCTTCCCCTTCTTTACAAAAGCATTTCTAATCACATACAAACATGACATAACATTTCCTATCTCTAAAAAATTTTCCCTTGATTCTCTCACACTTTTTGTTACCTACTCCCTTTTATAATAAGAATTCCTGAAAGAATTGCAGATGCACACTTTTTCAACTTCCTTAGCTTCAATTTTCTCTTTAACATTTTGATCCTACTCTACATCAAAATTGCTTTTTTCATAGTCACAATGAATGCATCTTGCCAAATCCAGTGCCCACGTCTATCTCAATTATTCTGATCTTCTCAATACAATAATATTTGACATAGTGGCCACATTTTTCTTCTTGAAAAACTTTCTTTGCTTGGCTTCAAGAATACCATGCTCATATGGAATTTTCCCTATTCACTGAATATCTCTGAAGATTCCCCTTTCTCTTTATGTTGAAGTACTCATGGCTTAATCCTAAAATGTTTATATCCTAGCAAAATAATCTCACCCAAAGCAATAACTTTAAATGTTCTGTATGTGCTGAAGACCTATGCATATTTATCACCAGCACTTCCTCCTCTGAGTTGCAGATTCATTTATATAATCACTTACTTTATGTTTAAATAACTGTTAGGAAGTTCAAAAGAAGAATTCTTGACTTCTCACACCTGGACCACAAATCTGCTTCTCTCCATGTCTTCCTTATTTCAAGAACTGCCAGTATCTACCCTCTACCATTTGCTCAAACCAAAATTTGAGAGAAATCTTTCTCTTTTCTTATTATCCCATACAGACTCCATCAGCACCTCCTCTTGACTATCTTCAAAATATATCCTGAGCACAACAATTTCTCACCACCTCTACTTTCATTTCTCCTGCCCCAGAAGCCATTATTTTCTACCTATATTGTTTTAATAGTTAGTTGACTGGACTTCAAGGTTCTATTTTTCCTTCCACATTCTATTGTCCACATGAAGACCTGCATGATCTTTTTAAGAATAGCTCAGGGCAATTAGGCAGGAGAAGGAAATAAAGGGTAGTCAATTAGGAAAAGAGGAAGTCAAATTGTCCCTGTTTGCAGACAACAAGATTGTATATCTAGAAAACCCCATTGTCTCAGCCCAAAATCTCCTTAAGCTGATAAGCAACTTCAGCAAAGTCTCAGGATACAAAATCAATGTGCAAAAATCACAAGCATTCTTATACACCAATAACAGACAAACAGAGAGCCAAATCATGAGTGAACTCCCATTCACAATTGCTTCACAGAGAATAAAATACCTAGGAATCCAACTTACAAGGGATGTAAAGGACCTCTTCAAGGAGAACTACAAACCACTGCTCAAGGAAATAAAAGAGGGTACAAACAAATGGAAGAACATTCCATGCTCATGGGTAGGAAGAATCAATATCATGAAAATGGCCATACTGCCCAAGGTAATTTATAGATTCAATGCCAACCCCATCAAGCTACCAATGACTTTCTTCACAGAATTGGAAAAAACTACTTTAAAGTTCATATGGAACCAAAAAGAGCCCACATGGCCAAGTCAATCCTAAGCCAAAAGAACAAAGCTGGAGGCATCACACTACCTGACTTCAAACTATACTACAAGGCTACAGTAACCAAAACAGCATGGTACTGGTACCAGAACAGAGATATAGATCAATGGAACAGAACAGAGCCCTCAGAAATAATGCCACATATCTACAACTATCTGATCTTTGACAAACCTGAGAAAAACAAGCAATGGGGAAAGGATTCCCTATTTAACAAATGGTGCTGAGAAAACTAGCTAGCCATATGTAGAAAGCTGAAACTAGATCCCTTCCTTACACCTTATACAAAAATCAATTCAAGATGGATTAAAGACTTAAACGTTAGACCTAAAACCATAAAAACCCTAGAAGAAAACCTAGGCATTACCATTCAGGACATTGGCATGGGCAAGGACTTCATGTCTAAAACACCAAAAGCAATGGCAACAAAAGCCAAAATTGACTAATAGGATCTAATTAAACTAAAGAGCTTCTGCACAGCAAAAGAAACTACCATCAGAGTGAATAGGCAACCTACAAAATGGGAGAAAATTTTCACAACCTACTCATCTGACAAAGGGCTAATATCCAGAATCTACAATGAACTCAAACAAATTTACAAGAAAAAAACAAACAACCCCATCAAAAAGTGGGCAAAGGACATGAACAGACACTTCTCAAAAGAAGACATTTATGCAGCCAAAAAACACATGAAAAAATGCTCACCATCACTGGCCATCAGAGAAATGCAAATCAAAACCACAATGAGATACCATCTCACACCAGTTAGAATGGCGATCATTAAAAAGTCAGGAAACAACAGGTGCTGGAGAGGATGTGGAGAAATAGGAACACTTTTACACTGTTGGTGGGACTGTAAACTAGTTCAACCATTGTGGAAGTCAGTGTGGTGATTCCTCAGGGATCTAGAACTAGAAATACCATTTGACCCAGACATCCCATTACTGGGTATATACCCAAAGGACTATAAATCATGCTCCTATAAAGACACATGCACACGTATGTTTATTGCAGCACAATTCACAATAGCAAAGACTTGGAACCAACCCAAATATCCAACAATGATAGACTGGATTAAGAAAATGTGGCACATATACACCGTGGAATACTATGCAGCCATAAAAAATGATGAGTTCTTGTCCTTTGTAGGGACATGGATGAAATTGGAAATCATCATTCTCAGTAAACTATCGCAAGGACAAAAAAACCAAACACCACATATTCTCACTCATCGGTGGGAATTGAACAATGAGAACACATGGACACAGGAAGGGGAACATCACACTCTGGGGACTGTAGTGGGGTGGGGGAAGGGGGGAGGGATAGCACTGGGAGATATACCTAATGCTAGATGACGAGTTAGTGGGTGCAGCGCACCAGCATGGCACATGTATACATATGTAACTAACCTGCACGTTGTGCACATGTACCCTAAAACTTAAAGTATAATAATAATTTTAAAAAAAGAAAAGCATTGTATTATGTAAAAAAAAAAAAGAATAGCTCATGCTCCATGGCAGAGAAGAGTTAGTTGTTTAACAATCTATCTTTTCTTCTTATTTTCAAAACTAGAGTCAATTTTGCAATTTCTCTTGCAGTTAGATGTGGTATTACCACTCAGTTTTAGCCAATGAAATATGAGAAAAAGTAATATTTGCCACTGCCAAGTCTAAATCCCCAAACCCTTCTATTAATATGTATGATTCCCTGTGTTCTTTCCCTTTCTGCTAACTTGATGCTGCAAGCATGCAACTTGCCTCCAGATGGAAGGCTGGGTCACTGAATCACTCTCTGAAGGAGAATTTTCCACTGGTCAG
The DNA here is from genome assembly GCF_000001405.40 of Homo sapiens. Classification (NCBI taxonomy): domain Eukaryota; kingdom Metazoa; phylum Chordata; class Mammalia; order Primates; family Hominidae; genus Homo; species Homo sapiens. The sequence continues at coordinate 110,171,708 of NC_000005.10, read as the reverse complement.
GAATAGATGTTCTGAATTTTACATAAATGATAAATAATATTGTACTGCCATTGGTGCCATAGTATATTTCGGGTTTGTTACTGACAGTAGCTAGAATTACCCTAATTAGTACATTCTCAAATACAAAAGACTCCAGTGGCTTTCCACTACATTTAGAATACATTTAAACCTCTTTCTTTCCATGCCCTTTGGGGCTCTAATGACCTGGGCCTTGCACAGCTGTGTGTGTTTATTTCCTCCTCATTCATTTCTCACCATTCACACTAGCCTCTTGCTATTTCTACAATACTCCAAACGAATTCCCAAGCCATGAACTTCGTGTTTGTTTGTATTAGTCCATTCTTATAGTTCTATAAAGAGGTTTAATTGGCTCAGTTCTGCAGGGCCGGGGAGGCCTCAGGAAACTTATAATCATGGCAGAAGGGAAAGCAAACACTTTCTTCTTCACATGGCAGCTGGAAGTAGTAGTGCCAAGAAAAGGGGAAAAAGCCCCTTATAAAACCATCAGATCTCATGAGAACTCACTCACTATCATTAGAACAGCATGAAGGAACCACCCCCATGATTACATTATCTCCTACCGGGTCCCTCCCAAGACACATGGAGATTATGGGAACTACAATGCAAGATGAGATTTGGTTGGGGACACAGCCAAACCATATCATTGCTATTCTCCCAGCCTGGAATGCCCTACTCCCACATATTCATGTCTGCTCAAATATCAAATTCTCAGAGAATCTTAACTTATATCTCATTAAAAGTGACATTTCTATATGTATCATTGTACCTATCTTGCCTTCACAGCTCTTAGATATACCTGTAACTATGTCAATTATTTATTCGCCTACTACCTTACTATCTACACCTTTCAATAGAATGTTAGTTCCGGAAGCAACCTGTTTCTAACAGGTAGAATGCAACCACATTGAAGAGACAGCACGTCTGTGATTACATTATATGAGACTGTGACTTCTATCTTGCTAGCAGAATCTCTCTGTTAAATTTCTTGGCTTACACACTTTGATGAAGCAAGCTGCCACATTGCAAGGAACTGTGAGCAGCTGCCAGCCAATAGCTAGGAACTGAGACTTTCAGTATGGCAACCCATAAGGAACTGACTTCTGCTGTGTGACCTTGGAAATATATTCTTCCCTAGTCCAACCTTCTGATGAGACCTCAGCCCTGGAAGATATTTTAAGCTACTGAGTTTGTGGTAATTTGTTATACAAAAAGAGGTAACTAATTCAACCCGTGTAGTTCAATTGATCTTTGTACAACAAAAGAAAATAAATGAAAATTGTTTTTTTTTTCCTGGTAAAACCAAATAGGATAATAGAAAACTAAAAAAATGTGCTACTTGCTTGGATGCCTGATGCCCCTAAAATATAATCTGATATCTATTATAGTGTCCAGCTTAGTTTTCAGGTTTGGTACAAAATGAATAAAAGTAAATTCTTCTTATCATCTTTACAGTCATCCTGAATGCAGTGTGTGGTACCATGGAAACATGAATACTGCAATATTTTCCCTTCTCCCAGACAGTAGTAACATCAAGGAACATAGCATTAATGCTCTCTTTCTGAGACACTGTCATTTCTTGGGTGACTGGCTCTACCTCTTCCACTTTAAGAATAATATAAGGAAAAAATTGAAAGTCCAAGTTATTTTGTTCTTGTTGTTTCTTTCCTTACAAGGTTAAAAAGACAACTTTAGAGAAAAACATATCATGGAAAACTTAGCTTTTGTCTCACATATATTGATGGGGCTTGGCCTGGTTGTGCACTTACAAAATATTTGGTTCCACTAAATAATATTGGGAGCTATAATAATGACACCCTTGATGAAATATGTTGTATTACTTCTATGTTAGAATATATGTTCCAAAAATTAAATCTCTGCTCCAGAAACAGAAAATGATGTAAAAAATTTACTTAAATGGAAAAGTAGTGACAAATTTTCACTTTGAAATAAATGTGTGAGATTAGCTGACATCAGGAAAGCCAGCTCTGATTCTCACTGCATTAGTGGCGTGGTTTAACACAAAGCCTCTTAAGCATTTAGCCAGATGGCTAGGGCAGAAGACGGTACCTAGCCCCTAAATACCTATATCTGTGAGAATGCATTGAAAACACTAAAATTATCACTGAAGCATTGAGATTAGTATCAAATGTGGAGAATGGGGATTTTTTTCTTGGAAGAGGGATTAGGCTAGATAAATAGATAAGTTTTGGCTCAAATGGCACAGTGACTGAGTGTTAGTAAGAATAATCTCTGATAATATGGATAGGGATTATCAAAATAGCTGTATCTGCAACAAAACTTGGAGGTCTTATTTCTAGCAATCAAGTATCCACTGAAGATTCTAAATCATTTTTCATTTTACTATCATTAAGAAGAACAAAGTCCGAAACCTGTGTCTTCAAGTGAACCATCAGACAGCTACTTAGGTTTAGAAAACAAAATAATGCCTCAGCATAATGCAAAAGTAATAAAAAGTAATACCAGTGCTTAGGTCCTTAGAGGGAAAAAAGTACTACAGCAAGAAAAAAATGTAAATCACCTAACTGGGTGACCTTTTTTTTAGTTGTGTGGCAGAATTCATGGACTTGCCAATAGATACGATGGACTTGACAATATATTAGATGGAAAATGTTGAACTTTCTGCTCAAAAAATAAAAGACCATGAACATCAGTCCCTATTCAATCCTATGAAAATGAAAGAAAAGTTAGGAATTAAGGTACATCTGAATCCATTCTATCTGCAGGGTGAAAAGCAAGGACAGAAAGAATATTTCATCAATAACCACATCACTTCCTCTCAGAGCTAATTATGCCTTTGAATCACATTCAGAAAGGAAGACACAAAGTTATCTTTAGCAAATACCTATTTTAATTGCTTAATAGTGAATACTTCTTTTGGAGCTAATTGGCTTATTTTTCTAAGAGGTACAAAATCTCTCTCCTCAGTAGAATGTTGAGATGAACAATGTTATTTCTTTAGAAGAAAGATTTGGAATACTGTAATTTTTGACATCAGATTATTTTTATCAAAAGATAATGTAAAATTGAACTTATTTTGTCAATTAAATTATTCTGTGGAGGTTGTGAAAGAACCAAACTCTTAACCAAGGAATTAATCCACAGCTGTAATCTGTGTCTTCACACAGAAAAAAAAAAGCCTTTTATAACCTTATTTCTGCAAACTCATATAGAGAACTGAGAAGCTAGGGCTGAGCTTGTCTTATCATCCAGTCTCAGTTGCCCTTCCAAAAAATATATGCACACATTGATATCTCTTATAAAAGAGGCTGATATCTCTTAACTACTCCATGGTATATCAAAGTAGAAATGATGGAATCAGTTACCTGGTAGGGTGGAGTATTTTATTACTGAAAATGTTTAGAATTGATGACACATAGTAATCCGGAGTTAAAACCCCACTTTTAGTAAGTGTTACTATTTTAAATTCTTCTCAGACAATGCACACTCTATTATCCGCATCTGGGAAAACCCCTCCACTATCACCATCTTGGTATATCACTTGGTTTAACTACATGACACTTATTATCATATTGAATTATTACAGCTGAGGAAAATGAGTTCAGAGGTTAAGTAATTTGCCTGTAGTTACTCAACTAGTTAAACAAGTTACTTATTCAACTAGTAATTGGTAGAACCAGGATTAAAACCAATTAATACCAAGAGCTTCCTAATGCCAAAGCCATTATAATAACCACAAGTTATGCTGCTCAAATGAAGACTCTGAGTTTCCCAACTATCACCTCCTTCTTAAATCCTTAAACGTCACATTCCCAGTATGGGAGTGCTCATGCCAATAAAAAGGCTAAGAGAAATGATGTGTGAACCCCAACTTTCCTGTGAGGAGGAAATTTTTTCTTATAATATGTATGAATACTGCTGCTGGAAAGAGTTGCATGTGTGGGAGAAGGAAGTGAACTGGCCTCGCCTCCTCTGCTAAGGACACAATAGAGAGGGGATTGTGAGTATATACAAATACTGCATGTGTCAATAATCCTACCACTCTACATGAAAGATAAAATTTTCTTAATTTGAAGAGGCATATACCTCTCATCAACTAAATATCTCAGACTCAGTTTATTATTTCTTCGAGTCAGCAAAATGTAGTAGGGAGTAAAATATAAGATGAAGGTATATAGAGGATTTTCTACACTCCTTATTGTCTATTGATTTCAAAATTAAATTCTAAACATTTTCATACTACAACAAGAATGAGATTAAACCAGATTTTGAGAAAAATACTTGTGAATACTTGTATAATTGCTTTGTCAGGCTAGAAACTAACTGGACTACTCCCAAGTGGACAGTCTACCTGAAAGGGAATGGATGTTCTCACAGCCGAACATTCCAAGAGGGATGTGTGAAACAAAGGGCTAAAGAGAAACTTGCTTCTCTCTTGGGGAATGGGATTAACTTTGCTTTGACTCTTGGATGTGGAAGTGCCTGGTGCATTTATGGTTATGGTTGTTGAGCTCCCCTAGTCACATAGAAGCAGGCAGAGATGAGATGAGAAATTAGCTCTCAGAGGTCCATAGGACAGGCTTGGGCCTCAGTCTGTGAGCTTGTAAATATTACATTTGTGTTTCCTTAAAAGTTACCAGCTGCTCTCTGCCACATGGGAATTTAATAAGCGCCAAGCTCTTGATTAGGATAAAGGCATAGGGAAAAGCAGAGCCCCATCTCCTGAGACCAAAATTATAGGAACAGAAACACATGTAGAGAACAACTTAGCCCAATAGAGTCATGACATTAAGGGTGGCTGCAGTAGCAGAGGCAGCATGATAAGGCTGGACTGGAATAAGGTGAGGGCTCTGTTCACAAGGAAGGTAACCTGAATACTTTTAGAAATATCTAAGACATTAGAGGGGGATGATAATTGATAGGTATAAAAGGATTCACACCTTTGTAGTTAGAATATTTCAATGGACAATGGTGAATTCAATTTCAAATTTTCTATAGTGAAAAATCTTATCCTGCTTGTTTGTCTCAACTGGTAGGATGATTAAGTATCTCCACCCTCCTGAGTCTTCTGGTCTAGGGCAAAGACTTCCTATCTATGTAATTAAAATGTCATAATACTGCACAGCAGAAGACCATGGGCTGTAAGGTCAAATAGTTCTAAACTCAAATCTCAGCCCTGACCTGGTCATAATTGGTCAATTAGTTTTTGATGAAGATGCCAAGGGGATTAAATGAAGACAATGTAGTCTATTCAACAGTGTTGGAACAATTGGACAGTCATATGAAAAAAATGAGCCTTGACTCTTACTTTTTGCCATATAGAGAAATTAACTTAAAATGGATTCTAGGCTCATATATAAAAGCTAAAACGATAACACTTCTCAAAGAAAACATAGGACAAAAATCTTTTGACTTTCAGTTAAACAAAATTTCTTAGCATGAATCATAAAAGAAAAAAATGACAAATTGAACATAATGAAAATTCTGGCTGGGCGCGGTGGCTCACGCGTGTAATCCCAGCACTTTGGGAGGCCGAGGCGGGCAGATCACGAGGTCAGGAGATCGAGATCATCCTGGCTAACATGGTGAAACCCCATCTCTACTAAACGAGAACAAAAAAAATTACAAAAAATTAGCCGGGCTTGGTGTCAGGCGCCTGTAGTCCCAGCTACTTGGGAGGCTGAGGCAGGAGAATGGCCTGAACCCGGGAGGCGGAGCTTGCAGTGAGCCGAGATGCGCCACTGCACTCCAGCCCAGGTGAAAGAGCGAGACTCCGTCTCAAAAAAAAAAAAAAAAAAGAAAGAAAAAGAAAAAAGAAAAGAAAAGAAAATTCTGCCCTTCAAATGATGCTGTTAAGAAAATGAAAATATAAGCCATAACCAGGGAAAAATATTCATGAAATACTATATATAATTAATAGAAGTCTTGTATCTAAGCTATACAAAGAAGCCTTAAACTCAAAAGAAGAAAAAAAAAAAACCCAACTGAATAACAGACAAAAGCTTTGAACAGAAATTTCAGGAAAGAATTGAAAATAAGATCATGGAAAGATGATTAGCACCATTAAGCATTAGGGAAATGCAAATGAAAACCACAATGAAATCCCACTGAAAAGGTTAAAAATAAAAAAGATTGACAATACCAAGTGCTCAGAAGGATTTGAAGCAGGTGAAAATCTCATAAAAGGCTGGTGGGAATCCCAAATGGTAGAGCCAGTTTGAAAACAGTTTGCCAGTTCCTTAAAAATGTACAGATACACTTACCAAATGATTTAGCAATGCCACTCATAAGTATTTACCCTAAGTAAATAAAAACTTGTGTCCTTCTGATCATGCAAAGACCTGTGTGTAAATCATATGAGTTTCTTTCAGCCCCCAACTGAAAGTAATTCAAATATCTATCCGTTGGTAAATGGATAATCAAAATCCATAGAATAGATTACCACTCTATAATAAAAATGAATGAACTACTGATACACTAATTAATCTCAAAATTATTATCCTAAGTGAAGGAAGCCTGATGCAAAAGGCATACTGATGATTCCATTTATGTGACATTTGAAAAAAAGGCGAAACTCTGGGGACAAAAAATAGTTTAGTCATTGCCAAGAACTACGGATGGAGAAAGAGATACACTACGAAGGGGCAGGAGGGTGTGTGTGTATATATACACACACACATATATATAAATGTATGTATATATAAATAAATATAATTTTCTATAAAAAATATATTTCTATATTATATATATATATATAATTTTTTTGAGACAGAGTCTTGCTCTCTCACCCAGGCTGGAATGCAATGGCGTGATCTCAGCTCACTGCAACCTACATCTCCAGGTTCAAGTGATTCTCCTGCCTTAGCCTCCTGAGTAGCTGGGATTACAGGTGTGAGCCACCGCGCCCAGCCCAGGAGGGTTTATTTTTGGAGTAACAGAAATGTTTCATATCTTGATTGCAGTAGTTATTACACAACTGTATATGTTTGTCAAAATTATCAAACTGTATACTTAAAATGGGTATTTTTATTATATGTAAATTATACCTCAATAAATACTTTTATAAAAAAGCAAAATCAAAAGAAAAAATATTCCATTTCTGCAGTTTACAATCTTGTGCAAATTATTTAACTTCTCTGACCTCCATCTCATCTGTAAAACTTACCACACTTGTACTCCCAAAGTCTTTGTATTCTGTAGCGTGTTCATTTTTATTGCTGTGTAGTAATCCATTATGTATATATAATACCTTTTATATATCCATTTTATTTCAGTTGTTTTCAGTTTTTGACTATTACAAGTAGTGTTGCTATGACATTATTGTGAATGTCTTTGACATACAAATATTTGATAACATGAATATGACTACCAAGAGGTAAATATTACCCCTGAGCTCTCATTTCCATATGACTGGTGAACTCAGATAATATATCACACAGCTAATTAGGCCAAGGTACTGACCACTGAAATTCCCTTTGGCAGCTTGTGTTATTATTACTGTTTTGAGATTTGGATACATTCTTCATATCTTCCATTAAATTTCCATCATGTTGCTTAAGCAGAGCCCTATTCCCCACCCCGACCCCTAGAACCTTCCCATCTGATACATGGCTTTGATGTACACATTTCTGATCTTGAGTCCCCATTAAGACATTCACCAAATCTTGGAGCTCAGCTGCTACTTGGATTCCCATTGGCCTATACCATAGCTACAGAAGTTTCCCCTTCAAAAACTGGGGACCTATACAACCCCTTTGGAAAGATGCTTGTCAATATCTATAAAAAAGGAACATAAACATGATCCAATAATCCCACTCTTTGCTGTATACTCATCAGAAATGTATACATATATTCATGAAAAGATATTCATAGTAATGTTCATAGCAACACTATTTGTCATATCCAAAAACTGGAAACAACCCAAATAGAATGAATATAAAAGGTGTTATATACACATAATGGTTTATTGCACAGCGATAAGAATGAACAAACTACACTGTGCAATAATGTGGATAAATCTCACAAATATAACAAAAAAGGTAGACACAAAAGAGTACATATTATATGACTTCATTTCTGTAATATATAAATACAGGGAAAGATACTATGTGATGCTAGAAGTCATGATAGTGGTTACCCTGACAGGAAGGGGTGAATAATGACTAGAAGGGGCTAGAGGGATCTTCTTGGAGTCTTGGTAATATTGCTTCTTGATATAGGTCTTTTGTTCAGTTTATGAAACTCATGGGACAATAAATTTATGAATTGTGTGCTTTTCTGAATGTTACCATAAAATGGTACAATACTTCAATTTTAAAAGCATATGTAAAAACCATAAAATATTTAATATATTTACATTAATAAATAAATTCATGGTTAAAAAGCATATGTAAAAACAATAAAATATTTAAAATATTTACATTAGCAAATAAATTCATGGTTCATACAACCTCCCCCTGCCTCACTCCATTCCTTTAGCCACATAGTGTGAGATCATATTCTCTCCCCAAACTGATCAATCTGATTTAAATAAAGCAACCTTATAAAGCAAGTCCTCTCCATTCACCAAAGTTCATGACTGACACAGATGCCAATGGACCATGGCTGTCATGGTTGCCAACATTCAATCTAACCTAGTTTTGAAAGAGGTTAGAAGTCAAACACATGAATTAAAATGAGTCCAATATATTTCCAGTGTATATAAATAATTTTTTAACGAAAAGGATCAGAACCAGAAATACGCTTCTAATGCCTACCTAGAATTTACTTTCTCTTAATTGGGAATCGTCGTATCTTAAATTTCCAGGAGTTTTTAAATGTTTTTTGTTTCTTTCCCCATGAATTAACAAAGCCAATTTAAGGGTAATTTGGACTCTAGCATTCATGTTTTGTTTTTTGTTTTGTTTTGTGTTTAATTTGTTTTTTGTTTTGTTTTGTGTTTACTTGTCTTGTTTTGTGTTTAACTCTAGCATCCATGTTTTGTTTTTTGTTTTGTTTTGTATGCTTGAGATTTACAAACTGATGGTATGAGATACAAAAGGTTTTTAGAGGGAAGAAAATTAATATATATATATAACTTCATATCGTTACTTTTTTCTATGACAAGAGCTTCTAAAAAATCTTAACAAAAATCCTGAATACAATACAATTTTATTAACTATAGTCCTCATATTATGTTAGATCTCTAGACCTATTTGTCATACATATCTGCTACTTTGGATCCCTTGACCTACATCTTCTCGTTTTCTCTCTTCAAATCCCACCACCCCTAGTAACCACTGTTAATTTTCTGTCTTTGTATATTTGACCTTTGTTTTTATATCCCACATATAAGTGAGATCATGCATTAATTTTCTTTCTGGGTCTGGCTAATTTCATTTAGCATAATGTCCTTGAGTTCAATCTATGTTGTGACAAATGGTAGGATCTCCTTTTTTAAGGCAAAATAATATATACATGATATTTATATACCAATATATAATCTCACATTTTCTTTATCCATTTGTCTGTTGATGGACACTTTTTATCAGTTGTTTCCATACCTTGGCTTTTGTGAATGACAAATGCAATAAACCTGGGAATGCAAGTATTTTTATAGGGCTTGGTGATTTAATTTCCTTTGCATATATACTCAGAAGAGGGATTCCTGGATCATATGACAGTTCTATTTTTAATTTCTTTAGTAACCTCTATAGTGTCTTCTATAATGACTGCGCCGAATTACATCCCTACCAACAGTGTACTAGGGTTCCCTTTTCTCCACACCCTCACCAACATTTGTTATCTCTTGTCTTTTTGGTAATAGCAATAGAAGCCTTTTTTTAAGGCCTAAAAAATAAAAGAAGCATATAACATTTCTCTGTGAATTTATAAGCTTCATTCATTAGCAACATGCTGAGTTTAATAATATCAAGTAATAACATGGCCCATTACCGAGGATTTTAGTTTTTCAGAATAACACACATAGCTATATTTGCATCAACCTTTTGGGCAAAACTCATAAAACGGTATAACATTGCCTTGTTGCCAGATTCAACCCATTTCCCAGCAAACCTGATAGTCGAAGACTCTGAAGACACTTTAAATTTAGATTTGTTAGAAAATAGATTTGGACACTATTTGATATATCCACACTCCAGAGAGAATTCTAAATATACTTTTGAATCTACCACTTCCCATTCTAGTCTCAGTGATGATTCCCACTTATATTATAAAGAGCATTAGCACAAAAATGTAACCAGACCCGTAAGGCTAAAGATTGTCTACATTTGTTTTCAAAGAGGCTTTGACATCTCCAGTTACATACACATTGGATACACCGCTGCCCTCTGCCCAGAGGAAATACATTTCCAGACTTGATTCCCACAGATGACACATACAGATTTTGCTTCACCTCCAGTCTGACCTTTATTTTGAATTCCCTTGCATTAATTAGCTTGAGGCATTTTTAGGAAAACTAACAAAGAGCACACTTCCTTTTCTTTCTTCTTTTCCTTCTCTTCTTTCCCCAAACATTTATTGAGTACTTCCTATATTTCAGACATAGGTAATACAAAGACAAGTAAGACACTGACCTACACTACTATAAAATTCCTACCAAGCTACCAATTTTAGACAACTTGAGTTTCCTTAGCATCTTGGAATCTGACTCTGAGTTAGTTTCTGATGAATAACCTGCACTTCTTTAAAAACCCAGCTTTGCTACAGACCTTTGCCTATTAGACTACAGCTGAAACAAAGGGCAAGGATTCCTCCACTATGTTCTTTAGTACTCCCAACACCTCCTTGACCATCCCCTTCTCATTCACTCCACCCACTGACTTTCATGGCCAAGTTGGTAAGGTGATTTTACTAGGAATCCCAAATGACTAGAAATAGCCATGCATCTTCCCAGAATCCCCAGAGCAATTTTTGTGCTGAGATTTTCTGATGACTGTATTTCACAGATGAGGACCGGGGATTAGATGCAAGGCACAGAAAGCCAGCACTGACCCAGGAAGAACCTTAAACCATCTGATCCCTACTTTGGTGCTTTTCAACTTTGTTCTAGAATATTTATGGGGATTTGTCATTGTAAAGATACAGTGATGAGGGAAACAGCCTTTAATCTCTTAGTAACTATAAAATCATAAATAAATATGCTATAACTATCCCAACTGATTTTTCCCCCAATCAATTTTCAACTTGATTTCATTTCAGGGTCAACGCTGAGAGTCATTTTATATGCAGACAAAGTCCTTTATTGCAGAATTTACTGCTTCTCAGTCTCTCAACGAGCTTACTAGTCCTGGATCAGAATTTCAATTGTGCTAACACTAAGGGCTACATTTTTTTCTGGTTAGGTAGCTGGCAATTAGTACTAATAATATGAGAATTGTGACATATCCTTACATTCTTCCAGTAGATTGATACCTACCTTAAGGAAAAAGCAGTGCTGGTTTTATTAAAATTTGAGGTGTTCTTCCTAAGCTCAGGGTATATCTGCTTATTTCATAAGACACAAAAACAAGGTATCTTTCTGCAGAAAGTGAGACAGTTATTTTAAAAATAAAACTATATCTGCTTCTATTGTTTGGTATTTCAAGTAAAAGTAATGTTTTAAGCCCAATTATTTGGATAATTGCCCAAAGAACTATTTACTGTAAGATGTGTGTGTGTGATCCTATGAAAACAAAAAAAAGTACACATTGTAATTTTTAATTATTCAATACATGGTACTTAAAAGTCTACCAAAAACGAATCCAGTTAAAAATAAACCAAATGTGCATAGAAAATAATGAGGGAAAGTGTGGTTAAGATTTTATCTTGAAAAAGGAAACTAAAAATTTTGAAATTTAGATCATTTTATCTAACTATTAGTAAAATACAAATTATAATTGCAACTAGGCTATAGAACACAAGCAGGCAAACTCTAGCCTGTGGGGTAAATTTGCATGGCCTAGAAGCTAAGAATATTTTTTAGATTTTCAAAGGATTATTAAAAAATATATATATATGACAGAGACTATATATGGCCCACAAGATATCATTCCATCATTCCTTTTTTGTATTATACATTTTTTGTTGTTTCTGTATCTTTTTCCTTATAAACTTTATTTTTATGTACTTAGAGGATACTGTGCTTTATGTAATCTTCTGGAACTTCTTTCACTTAATATTATATTGCTAACACTTATCCAGATTGTTGTGTGTTGATGAAGTTTATTTTTTAAGCCACTGTATCATCATTCTATGGTGTAAATATGCCACTATTTATCTACTCTCCCATTGATGGGCATTTTTCCAGATTTTGCAATTGTTGAGAGATTGCTCACAACATTCCTACGCATGTTTTATCCAGTGAGAAATTTAATCTTAGTCATATACTTAAGAATGGAATTGTACCCAGGTCCATAGATTATATAAATTTTTCCTTTAGGAGATAACACTAGACTATTTTTCCAAAGTGGTATCCCATTTACACTCCCACTAGCAATATGAAAGAGATTCTTTGGATCTACATGTCTTCAACAGTTGAAATTGTCAGACTTGTCAATTTTTGGCAAACAAGTGATATCTATGTGGTTTAAAATTGAACTGTCTTTATCACTATTGGTATTGAAAATCTCTTCCTATATGTATGGGACATACAAGTTTCATTTTCTGTGAGATGACAGTTTATGACACTGGCTCATTTTTCAGTTTATGTTTTGCTTACTGATTTCTAAAAGTTCAGTATATATTATTGATACAAATCACTTATTGTGTGAATTGTAAATATCTCCTCCCATTTTGTAAATTGTTTCTAAGGTTACTTTTGATTAATTATTAATAATTTTAATACAGGCATTTAAAATTTTTTTCTATACTCAATAATTTTTTCCTAAGAAATCTTTCCCTACTTAAATATCTAAAAAATAGTTACTTTATTTTCTATAGAGTTTTCAAATTTTGTTTTTGAAATCTGAGTCATTTATTTTCTAGTAATAGTTCAATTTTGTCTTGACTTATAAGTTAATTTAGGGATCCAGTTTTATCTTTTACTATATGGATAACCATTTTTCCAGCTCCATGATATGACATGCCACCCCTATCATATATCACTTGTGTCATATGTGGATCTTTTTCTGAGCTCTATATTCTATTCTGCTTGTCAATTCATTCTTGGTTGTATTAAAGCCACACTGCCCTAATTACTATAGCTGCATACTAAGCTTTGCAGGCAAATCTCCGCTTCTTATTCCTTTTTAGAAGTGCTCTGTATACTCTTGGCTAATTTCACTTTCATATGTATTTTAGAATTATTTTACCAACTCTATTTGAATTTGGATTAAAATTAAAATAAATCTATTTCTTAATTTGGAAGACTCGACATCTTGCCAATATTAAGTTCTCCAATCCATTGATTGGTGTGAAATATTTCTTCAGTTATTTATGTCCTCTATTAAATCTCTTAATAACATTTAAAATTTTTCCCTGTGGAGATCTTACACATCTTTTGTTTATTTTATTCCTAGGTACTTGATACTACTCTACAATATTGTAAATTATAATTTCTCTTCAATTATCAGTGCTAAACTTTTTCTTTCTTTTTAAATTTTGTTTTCTAATTATTGGCTAGATAGAAATGCAACTGACTTTTGGATACATCGATCTCCAGATTTTGCTGAACTCTTTTTTCTAATTATTTTAGAAGCTTTTGGGTTTTCTTTGTTTAGAAAATCTGAATTATGAGTTTTGTTCCTTCTTTTCTATCCTTATTTATCTAATCTATTTTTATTTTCTTCTGATGCTGTCTAGGAACTCCAAGGCAATGTTCAATAAAAGTGGTAAAGTGGACATGCTTATCTCATTACTAATTTTAAAGGGAATGCTTCTAGTCTGCTCTAAAATTTTTAACATTTTTATTACATTTAGAACTTTTTCTTCTCTTCATAATAGGAATTTCATCATGATTTGGTTTTGAATGTATTGTAACAGACTTTTTCTTCATCTATTGAAATGAACTTTTGAGATTTCTACTTTAAACTTTTAATGTGATAAATAACATTTATGGATTTTCTAATATTAAACTTGTCCCACATATATGAAATCAACCCATATTGATCATGGTATATTATCTATTTTATACATTTCTGAATTAGATTCCAGAATAATATTATAGTTTTATTCTTGAGTGAAACAGGCCTTCATAATAGGCCTATTTCCAGTAGTTTCCTTTTCAGGCATTCTTCTTTTATAACATAATAAGAGCTATAAGTATAGCAAAGAACAGCTTTTGCTACCCCAAATTTTAATTTACATAGTTTTCATTATACTTCAGGTCTATGTCATTATGAATTTCCATTTTTAAAATTTTCCTTAATCTGTACTTTATTTAGTGGCACAGTACTAAGTTTGCATTTGTGGAGGCACTGCCAATTCACCTTTGTGTCATTAACTTCCAGCTTAATTGCTAAATGATCATAGAGATCATGGTTTCTAAACACCGCATATTCTCACTCATAGGTGGGAATTGAACAATGAGATCACATGGACACAGGAAGGGGAATATCACACTCTGGGGACTGTGGTGGGGTCGGGGGAAGGGGGAGGGATAGCACTGGGAGATATACCTAATGCTAGATGACGAGTTAGTGGGTGCAGCGCACCAGCATGGCACATGTATACATATGTAACTAACCTGCACAATGTGCACATGTACTCTAAAACTTAATAGTACCCGTGATGGCTAATATTGAGTGTCAACTTGATTGGATTGAAGGATGCAAAGTATTGTTCCTAGGTGTGTTTGTAAGGGTGTTACTGGAGATTAACATTAGGGTCAGTTGACTGGGAAAGGCAGACCCACCCTCAATCTGGGTAGGTACAATCTAATCAGCTGCCAGCGAGGCTAGAATAAAAGCAGGCAGAAGAACACAGAAGGACTAGACTGGCTAAACCTTCGGCCTTCATCTTTCTCCTGTGCTGGATGCTTCGTGCCCTCGAACATCAGACTCCAAGTTCTTCAGCTTTTGGATTCTTGAACTTACATGAGTGATTTGCCAGGGGCTCTCAGGCCTTCCAACACGGGCTGAAGGCTGCCATATCAGCTTCCCTACTTTTGAGGTTTTGGAACTCAGACTGGCTTCCTGGCTCCTCAGCTTGCCGACAGCCTATTGTGGGACTTCAGCTTGTAATCTTGTGAGTCAATTCTCCTAATAAACTCCCCTTTATATATACATCTATCCTATTAGTTCTGTCCCTCTAGAGAACCCTGACTAATACAGTACTGATTCTTTGAAATTTATTGATTTTTTTGCCTAATACATGACTAATTATTAGAAATGTTTCCTATACATGTGAGAAAAACATGTAGTGTTTAAGTTTGGATTCAGAACTCTATGTAGCTATCCATTTGGGTCAAGCTATTTAACACTGACTTTTTTACCCTGAAATGTACAGTTTTCTGCTCTAATCTTTATTATTTCTTTTCTTCTACTAATTTTGAGTTTGGTTTGCTTTTACTTCCCCAATTTTTTAAGATACATCATTATGTTGTTTATTTGAAGTTTTTCTTTTTTGATATAGGCACTTACAGCTATAAATTTCTCTTAGTACTATTTTCACTATATCCCATAGGTTTGAGTATGTTGTGCTTCTATCACCATTTGTTTCAAAAAATTTTTCAATTTTCTTCTTAATTTCTTTAATGACCCCACTGGTCAGTCAGAAGCATATTGTTTAATTCCCATGTCTTTGTATCGTTTCCAAAATTCCTCTTGTTATGGTTTTCTAGTTTTATTTTATAGTGGCCAAAGAAGATGCTGGATATTATTTCAATTTTTTGAATGTTTTGAGACTTGTTGTGTGATAACATATGGCCTACCCTTGAAAATGATCTATATGCTGAGGAGGAAAATGTGTATTCTGCAGCTGTTGGATAAAATGTTCTGTAAATATCTTTTAGATCCATTTGTCCAATAGTGCAGATTAAGTCTGACGTTTCTTTGTTGACTTTCTGTCTGGAAGATTTGGCCAATGCGGAAAGTGGGATGTTGAAGTCTCCAATATTATTGTATTGAGGTCTTTCTCTCTCTTTAGCTCTAACAATATTTGCTTTAATATCTGGGTGCCTCAATATTGGGTGCATATATCTTTACAATTGTTATGTCTTCTGAATTGACCACTTTATCATTATATAATTACCTTCTTTGTCTCTTCTTAGAGTTTTTGTCCTGAATCTATTTTGTCTCATATAAATAGAGCTACTCCTGCTCTTTTGTAGTTTCCATTGGCATAGAATATCTTTTTTCATCCCTTTATTTTCAGTCTATGTGTATCCTCATAGGTGAAGCGTGTTTCTTACAGACAACAGATCACTGAGTCTTGTTTTTTCATCATTCAGCCACTCTGTGTCTAGGATTGCAAAGGTTAGTCCATTTACATTCAAAGTTGTTATTGATAAGTACGGACATACTCCTGCCATTTTGTTATTTACTTTCTGGTTGTCTTGCAGTCTTCTCTCCCTTCTTTTCTTCCTTCCTGTCTTCCTTTTAATGAAGGTGATTTTCTCTGGTGGTATGATTTAATTTCTTGCTTTTTATATTTTGTGTATCTGTCGTATGATTTTTGATTTGAAGTTAACATGAGGCTTACAAATATTATTTTATAACCCATTTTTTTAAACTAATGACCCCTTAACACTGTTTTCATTAAAAGAACACAGAGAATGATACACATAGAATGATACACATAGAAACACACACACAAAGAAAACTAATAGAAAATCAGCACTTTAACTTCATCCCTCCACTTTTTGACTTTTGGTTGTTTCTTTTTATGTCTTACTGTACAGTCTATGTCTTGAAAAGTTGTTGTAGCTATTATTTTTGAATGGCTTATCATTTAGTCTACTTAAGTTGAAATAATTTTACACACCACAATTACAATGTTACACTATTTTGTGTTTTTCTGTTTGCTTACTATTACCAGTTTTATAACTTCAGTTAATTACTTCTTGCTCATTACCATCCTTTTACTTCAGATTAAAGAACTCACTTTAGTATTTCTTATAAGACAGGTCTGGTATTGATGAAATCCCTCAGCTTTTATTTGTCTGAGAAGGTCTTTATTTTTCCTCCATGCTTAAAGGATATTTTTTACCAAATATACTATTCTAGGGTTAAAGTTTTTTTATTATTTCTTTTTCTTTCAGTACTTTAACTATCTCATGCCACTTTCTTCTGGCCTGTAAGCTTTCCACTAAGAAGTCTGCTGCCTGTCGTATTGGACCTCCATTTATGTAATTTGTTTATTTTCTCTTGTTGCTTTTAGGATATTTCCTTTATCTTGGACTTTTGGAAGTTTGATTATTAGCTGCCTTGAGGTAGTCTTCTTTGAGTTAAATCTGCCTGGTAGTCGATACTTTCTTTTACTTGAATCTTGATATTGTTCTCTAGGTGTGGGAAGTTCTCTGATACTATCCCTTTGAATAAACTTTCTACCCCTATCTCTTTCTATAACTCCTCTTTAAGAACAATAACTCCTTTTGAGATTATTTTCTAGATCTTGTAGGTATACTTCATTCTCTTTTATTCATTTCTCTTTGGTCTCCTCTGACTGTGCATTTTCAAATAGCCTGTCTTCAAGCTCACAAATTCTTTCTTCTGCTTGAGCAATTCTGCTATTAAGAGACTGTAATGCATTCTTCAGCATGTCAATTACATTTTTCAACTCTCACATTTCTGCTTGATGCTGTTTATTTAAAATCTCACTATTAAACTTATGTGATAAAATCCTGAATTCTCTCCTTGTGTTATTTTTAATTTCTTTGAGTTCCCTTAAAAAAACTATTTTTAATTCTCTGTCTGAAAGGTCATATATCTCTATTTCTCCAAGATTGGTTCCTAGTGTCTTATTTACTTCATTTGGTGAAGCCATGTTTTCTTGGATGGTGTTGATGCTTGTGGATGTTCTTCGGTGTCTGGCCATTGAAGAGTTAGGTATTTATCATAGTCTTCATAGTCTGGGCTTATTTGTGCATGTCCTTCTTGGGAAGGCTTTCCAGGTATTAGAAGGGACTTGGGCCCCATCCCCGTAATGCTTGTCTTTTACAGACTCATACAGGTACTGCCTTGGTGGTCTAAGATAAGATCTGAAAGAATTTTGGGATTACCAGACAGTCTCTTGTTCTTTTCCCTTACTTTATCCCAAGCGTACCAAGTTTCTCTCTCTCTGCTGAGCTGCCTGGAACTAGGGGTGTGGTAATTCAAGCACCCCTGTGGCCACTACCACTAGCACGGCACTGGGTCAGACCTGAAGCCACCACATCACTGGGCCTTGCCCAAGGCTATTCTGTTCATGGAAGCAAGTTCCCTAGGCCCCAGGAATCACCAGAGCTGCTGTCTCGGAGCTAGGAATTGGAATCAAAATCCTTAGCAGTTCACCTGAAGTTCTATTCTAATGCTGGTAAGCTGGTGCTAAAACCACAATACAAAGTCCTTCTCATTCTTCCTTCCCACTTTCCACAGCCACAAGGGCCTTTCACTGTTTTACCACCATCACTCCCTGGGGTGTTCTGCCAGGCCACCACTGATGTTCACTTAAAGCCCAAGCGCTGCTCCATCAGCTTGTGGTGAATGCTGCCAAGTCTGGGACTCAGGATTCAGGGAAGTGGGCTCCCCTGTGGCCCAGGGAAGGCCCAGAAATTCTGCCTAGAAACCTAGGCCTGGACTCAGGGACACTAAGAGCCTACTTGTTGCTGTCACCTGCTGTGAGCAAGCTGATACCTATACTGCAAGATAAAGTCCCCTTTATTTTTCCCTCTGCTTTTCTTAAACAGAAGGAGTCTCACCATAGCCACCACAGCTGGGAATGTGCTGGGTGTCCCCTGAATCAAGCACACCTCAGAGCCCAAGATCCATGATCCATGGCATACACCCTGAGTATTCCTGGTGGGTTATTTGGGCACAAAGGTACCTTTTTTTTTTTTTTTTTTTTTTTTTGAAGGGGTTTCGCTCTTGTTGCCCAGGGTGGAGTGCAATGGCACAATCTTGGCTTACTGCAACCTCTGCCTTCTGAGTTCAAGTGATTCTCCTGCCTGAGCCTCCCAGGTAGCTGGGATTACAGGCATGCACCACCAAGCCTGGCTAATTTTGTATTTTTAATAGAGATGGGGTTTCTCCATGTTGGTCAGGCTGGTCTCAAACTCCCGACCTCAGGTAATCCACCCATCTCAGCCTCCCAAAGTGCTGGGATTATAGGTGTGAGCCACTGCGCCTGGCCCCAAAGTCTCTTTAGTCAGCCAGTGGTGAATCCTGCCAAGACTTGGTCCTTCCCTTCAAGGCAGTGAGTTTCCTTTTGGCCCAGGGTATGTCTAGAAATGTTACCTGAGAGCTAGAGCCTGAAACAGGGATCTTACAACTCTGCCCAGTTCCCTATCCTACCATGGCTGAGCTGGTATCCAAAATCCTCTTTACTCGTCACTCTCCTCTCCTTATGCAGAAGGAAGGAATTACTTTTGTTCCCATGAGCTGTACTGCCTGGCGTGGGGGAGGCATGGCACCTTCCTTTAGCCACCCCTGCTGGTGTCTCTCTAGGTCATGTACCATCCTAGTTAACTGGCTCTAAGCCCAGCCTAGCACTAGGGTGCCTAGGAATTGCAGTCCTTTTGTCCTAGATTGCCTTTCAAGTTTACCTATGACCCCAGAGCATGCCAGCCTGCAGTGGCAAGGCTTGCTGAGAAACTGCAGTTCCAACCACTGTGTTGGGTGATTCCCCTCTGGCTAGGGCTGGTCCAAATGCTCCCTCTGTGCATGGGCACTTGCTGAGCCCAGCACGGCTTTATTCTTCACTGTAACAGTGCAGCACCATGTTCAATGTAAAGTCCCCCAGTCACTGTGCTCTGCCTCCCCAAAGTACACAGATTCTCTCTCTGGCCACAGGATCTCTGCCAAGTAATGAGGGAGAGGAAATGTCAGCACTTCAAGATTATCTCTCCTGCCCTCATCAAAGCCTCTTTCAGTGATATGAAGTTAAAACCAGGTAGTGTGATTGTTCACCTCATTTTTGGTTCTTATGATGGTGCTTTTTTTGAGGGCAGATAGTTGTTAAAATTTGGTGTTTCAGTAGGAGAGACGAACAGTGTAGGCTTCCATTCTGCCATCTTGTTCCACCTCTCAATAATATCTTTAATACTTTAAGAACTTTATCTCATTAACTTTCTGCATCCTGTGTTGCTGCTAAAAATACATCAATCTGGTTTTCACTGTTTTTTTTTGGTGGGGGGGATCTACTTTTTTTTTCTAAATTTTAAGACTTGCTGTTTGTCTTTGATATTCTAAAATATTAACGTCATGGAAATTTTGCTTTGGGTAATGGTAGACCAGTTCATTCCACTCATTTCCTCCCACTGAATATAACTTGAAGATCTAGACAACAAAACAATCTGTTGGAAGTCATCAAAAATCTGAAGAATTGCTTGGACCACAACTGAGGGAGGGAAGGTTCTCAGGGATGTGAACCTGGCATTTAATGTGACTCTTTCTCTGGGAGCATTTGTTAATTCTGGAGGTGGCTGTTAAGACTGCTTTTGATAGGTTCTAAGTATTAGAAGTAAGAACAGAGTCCGCGGCCCATGGCCCATCAAGAACCCATCAAGGGTTCTTACTTAGAAGTAAGAACCAAGTCCCAAATGGTAGGACTCTCTCATTTGAGACTGGAATCACAAGGAATTGCCATTTAAAAGAAACAATGACACCTAAGTAGAAGGACCTCATAGGAAAAATAAGTCAGAAGGAAATACCTAGTGTGAATCAAAGAGGAACAATAGGATGGGGAAAAAAAAGAAGATAATGTAAGAGATATAAAGCATACAGTGACTCTATTCTAACATGCATTTAATTGGAGTATTAGGATGAGAGAAGAAAGAGAATGGGTAATTTGAAGGTATAATGACAAACTGTTCAAAACTTAAAAAGATATGAAGCAAGAGTTTCAAGAGATCCTATGAACATAGAGCAGAATAAATTCAAAGAAATCCACACTTAGACACAAACACCATAACAAAACTACTGCAAAGGAAAAAGAATGAGAAAGTTTTTTTAAAGCAAATAAAGAATGAAAAATGATCTGAAAAGAAGTAACAATAAAAATAATAAATGCTGGTGACAATGTAGAGGAAAGGGTACTCTTATACACTGTCGGTGGGAATGTAAACTAGTACAGACATTATGAATAACAGTATGAAGTTCCTCAAAAAACTACAACTAGAACTACCACATGATCCAGCAATCCCACTACTAGGCATATGTCCAAAGAAAACGAAATGAGTATATCAAAGAGATATCTGCACCCGCATGTTTATTGCAGCACTATTCATAATAGCCAAGATATAGAATCATCCTAGATGTCTAACAACCGATGAATGGATAAAGAGAATGTGATACATACACACAATGGAATACCATTCAGTCATTTAAAATAATGAAATCCTGCAATTCATAGCAATATGGATGGAACTGGAAGACATTCTGTTACGTGAAATAAGCCAGGAACAAAAAGTTTACCACTGCATGTTTTCACTCACATGTAGAAGCTAAAGAAAAAGTTGATTTCTATAGAGGTAAAAAGTAGAACAAAGTGTATGACAGGATGGGAAGGGTAGAGGGAAGTGGGGGATAAGGAAAGATTTGTTAAAGAACACAAAATTACAGCTAGTTAGGAGGAATAAGTTCTAGAGTTCTATTGCACTGTTGGATGACTATGGTTTACAATAATATATAGTTTCAAAGAGCTAAACAGGGGATATTGAAGGTTCTGAACACAAAGAAATGATAAAAGTTTGAGATGATGGATAATTCTACATTATATGTATCACAAGATCACTGTGTATCTCACAAATATGTACAATTATTATGTGTCAATTTAATTTTTTTAATTGACAATTAACTCCTCAACAGAAACACTGGAAGCCAGAAGACAGTGGAGGAAAATCTTCAACCTACTGAAAGAAGACAGCTCTCAACCTAGAGCTCTATTCCTAGCAAAAACATTGTTTGAGGAAAAAGGTAAAATAAATACTTGTTCAAGCAAGCAGAACCTAAGATAATTTTTTGCAAAACATTTCACTGACACAAAAACTATAGTGTTATTCAGGTAAAATAAAGTTGATTCCAGATGGAAGGTCAGAGAATAAGAAAGGGGAAAAAACAAGGAAAATCAGAAATATGTAGGTATATCTAAATGAACACTGAATTTATAAAACAACAAGAATAATGCTTTGAGCTTAAAATAGAGAAAATGAAATACATGATTCAATGAACTATGTTAAATTTTAAATAAATTTTTAAGTGTTTCAAGACCCTTATATTATTTTAGAAGAGTGAAAGTACCATTAACTTTAAACACTAATCTCTATGGTAAACAATAAAAAAAATAGTGTATATTTCCACTTTAATAAAAAGAAAATAATGGAGTTATAAAAATGCAAACAAAATAAGGCAAGAAAGCAGAGAAATGGGAATACAAAACAAGCAGGGCAAATACATGCACTTTAAAAAATGGTAGTTTTCAACTCAAATATACCAGCAACTATATTACATATAAATGAACTAAATGCTTCAATTATAAGAAAAATATGATCAGACTGGATAAAGAAAAACACAATCCTGTGCTATTACAAAAAACATCTAAAACATAAATATACAGAAAATTTAAAAAGAAAAAAGGACTCTACTAATACTAACCAAAAGAAAAATTGATATAGCTAGATCATTATTAGGTAAAACAGACTATTGCTAGAAAGTGTCATTAGGGATACAGAGGAGTATTTCAAAATAAATTCAATTCCCCCTGGAAGATATTTGTATGTACCTAAAGTCATGCCCTCAAAATAAGCAAAGCAAGACTCTACAGAGCTAATACAACATGATCTAAATAATTATCTATATAAATAGATGGATTAGAATACTCAGTACATTAAAGCTGCTTTTTTTTCAAACTAATTTAAAGAATCAGTGCAATCATAATCAAAATCCCAACAACTATTTTGTGGAACATCACAAGTAGATTTTAAATTTTAGGTGGAAATGCAACCATCATCTGTAAATAGTGGGTTTTACTTTTATTTTTTCCAACCTCACCTTTTATATATATATTCCTGCCTTAATCTACTGGCTTTAATGTGCAAAATAATATTGAATAAAATGAGCTCTACTGGGCCTCCTTGTTTTGACCCTGATCTCAGAGGAATCCATACCATTAAATTAGCTGCTTTATTTAATAGCAGTAGCTAAATTTAAAAATAACTTTTTAAATTTTTTTTTTGAGACAGGCCTCTCTCTGTCACCTAGGCTGGAGAGCAGTGGTGCAATTACAGCTCACAGCAGCCTCAACTTCCTGGGGTCAAGTGATTCTCCTACCTCAGCCTCCCAAGTAGCTGGGACTACAGGCATATGCCACCACATCCAGTTAAGTGTGTGTTTGTGTGTGTGTGGGTAGACAGCATCTCACTAGGTTGCCTAGGCTGGTCTCAAACTTCTGGGCTCAACTGATACTTCTGCCTCAGGCTCTCAAAGTTCTGGGATTACAGGCAAGTTGCTGCATTTTTAAAATTACATTTTATCAGTTAAGAGCGTTCGCTAGTTATTGTTTTCTATATATGTTTATAATAAATACACAATATATTTTTTACAAAAGTCTTTTCTGCATTTGTTTAGATTATATATGAGTCTTTATTCTGTTACTATGGTGAATTACACTGATTGACTTTCATATATTATACCAAACTCACATTCCTAAAACAAAAGCAACTTAGTCATGACATGTTATCATTTTTATGTATTTCTAGATTTTATTTGATAGCATTTTGTTTAAAAGATTTGAACCTATGTTTATGAGTTAGATTGATCTGTAATCTTTCCTTTTAACATCCCTATCAGGTATTGATATCAACACTCCTGGCTTTATAAACTGAGTTGGGAAGTATTTCTCCCCATTTTTTTTTTCAGTCTTGGAAACATATAATTTGTTTCTATGTTTTTGAGAATGGTATTGTTTCTTAATTATATAGTAGAAAAAAAGTATGTTGAAGTCTTTGCCTATGAACATAATAATTTTGTCAAGTTTGCGTTGTAGTTCTGTCAATGTTTGCTTTGTGCAGCATACACATTTGGAATTATTATCTCTCTCTGATGAAATGATTATTATCACTACAAAGTATCCCAGCTTGCTTTGAATAATGTTTCTTGTCTGCATCTGATATTAATCTAGCAAGATCAGCTTTCTTGTTAACATTTGCATTGTTATATCTCCCTACCCTTTTTACCTTCAGACTTCTGAAATCTTACATCTTGGGTCATCACTTGTAAGAAGCATATAGTTGTTGTGTTTTAGTCATGTCTCATAATATTTGTTTTTAAGTGGTCTCCTACAGTTCATTTAAATTTAACATCATAACATGTATTTGTGATTACATCTACATCGTATTACTTTTCATTTGTCTTGCTTATACTTTATTCCTTTTTCTCTCCCTTTTTGCCTAATTTTGGACTAATTATCTGTTAGTATGCCATTTTCCATTACCTTTAACTCAGTAATTCTACACTCTCTTTTTTTTATTAACTTTCAGTCCATTAAGAGTTTATTTTGGGTAGGCATCTGGGATCTCCTTCTTTTTGTGTGTCCCCTTTCTTTTCTGTTTCACTCCCATTCTATTTTGTTTATTTCAACAGATTTTGGAGTACAAGTGGTTTTTTGTTAGATGAATGAATTATATGGCAGTGAATTCTGAGATTTTAGTGCACCATCACCCAAGTAGTATACACTGTGCCTAATGGGTGTTTTTTATCCCTAGCCCTCCTCCCCTATTACTCTCTGAGTCGCTAAAGCCCATTATATTGTATTACCCTGCATGCCTTTGCATACTCATAGCTTAGCTCCCACTTGTAAGTGAGAACATGGTTTTTGGTTTTCCATTCCTGTGTTACTTCACTTAGAATATTGTCCTCCAGCTCTATCCAAGTTGCTGAGAAAGACATTATTTCCTTCCACTTTATGGCTGTGTACACTCTTTTTCTATTCTTTTAGTGATTTCACTAGATGAAAACAAGCCCTTTGTACTTACTAAGTCTAAGGTTTCCTGCGACTCTTACCATTTCTCAGACAACTCAGGAACATTAGAACACTAACTCATATCTTCCCCTCTTGACTTACAAGCTATTCTTATTATGTACTTCAATTCCATACCTACTCATAATGAGAGCTTAATTTTATTGATTTACACAGAAAAATTCACTGGATCACTCTCATATATGCTTGTTTTTACCTCTTCATTCTTCCTCGTGTCTATGAATTTTCACCTGAAATCAAGGATTTTTTAATGCCTGAAGAACGTGCTGTATCAGAGGCTGATTTGCTGTGAATATATTAAAACTTAAGTTCCATAAAATTTTTCTGACAGGGACCCCTTTTCCAGTGTGCTTACATGATTAAATACTTTTGTAAAATTTGAAAAATAAGATATTTCAGCTGAAATGAGTTTAAGACCACTTTCCTTTGCACTAGGGTTTCTTGTTCATCAGACTTCCCTTCATAACAAATAATACTTGATTGGACATAAGCTAGGGGAAGTGGAGTTGCACACACATTTGGCTTGGGTTTAGAATACATTTTTAAATTTCTTGTCACCTCTGTGTGTAGCTAAATAGTTTCTAGCTATTTTTTGGATACTCCTACCCTTTGTTGTGCTGACTCACCTGACATCAGGACACGAAGATGGAAGGCTGAGGTAGTTAATAAATATGCTGTGCTTTTGCCTGTGTGAAAAAAACAGATACATGTATCCTATGGTGTTCAGCATTGGGAATATGTGGTTGTGGAAGAAGAGGAAGAGGAAGAAGAAGAAGGAGGAGGAGGAAAAAGAAGAAGGAGGAGGAGGAGGAAAGGAGGAAAGAAAGAAAGAAGAAAAAAAGAAAGAAAGAAAGAAAGAAAGAAAGAAAGAAAGAAGGAAGGAAGGAAGGAAGGAAGGAAAGGAAAGGAAAGGAAGAAGAAAGAAAGAAAAGGAAACTGAAATGTGCAAAGGCATTAGCTAGTATGTGGGAAATTCTTTGATTCATCAGACATTTAAGATCATAAATCAGGTTATTAATTATGCTTAATAAAAGTAGAAGTTTTCCCTTATCAAGAATATACTGAAAAGCATTATAAATCTACAATACATACATTTTTCTTTTTTATGAGAATTGTGTGAAATCAAATATATCAGAATTCCTGTGTTTGTTAACTACAAACTTTCAGTAGTGCCACAAATATCAAATTTACATGTGGGTGATGCTTTATGCATCCCAATAGGAAGGATCATATTTGGGAGTATTTGATGCCTATTTTCCTGATATTATCTGATAATAAAAGTCTAAATAAAGCAGCGGGCAAAATTGGCTAAACACAGCATAACAGAAGAACTTAAAATAACTATAGATGTGTTTAGTAGTTATTTAATTAAATATATAATTTGTCTCAATTTGGAGATATTTGTGGTATTTTTAGCTTTTTGAAAGCAATTTTGTTAATTTTTCATTCGAACAAATATTCACTTTTTTTAAATTTAACTTTGCAGTCAAAACTTGAATTTTTTTCTATTAAAGAGGGACTGGAAGTTAACAAATGCTAAGTTCCACATATCCTAAACCAAAACCTTCCTTTTAATTGCTTATTCTGTGTTAATAAATACTCTGCGCTTTATACTCTGTGCTGTTGTTTGGCTAAAAATGTCTTTAATTCTTTGGCATTTTTTTGAAGTTGTGCTGGATTTTGAATTCTAGATTTTGAATTATTTTAACCCCTTAAAGATATTTTTCTTCTTCTGGTTTCCCTTTTTCTGTTGAAGTCTGCTGACATTTTGATTGATGCTTCTTTTTAGATAAACTGTCTTTATTCTGGCTGCTTTTTCTTTAGTTTTAGCAGTTTTACTGTGATACGTCTTGAATCTGTAACGTACAGTCTTTCAATTCCTTATGGAAAATCCCATTATTATTGCTCCTGCCCCTAATCACTGTCTTCTCCTTCTGGAACCCCAAAAAGTGTAAACTTATATTACAACTATTTTATACATCACTTTATTCACTATTCTCTGTGTTTTCCTTCTTTTGTTGCTGCATGCTTTGATCTGGAGATTTCCTTTTGAAATGACCTGCAATTTCTTATTCTTCATTCAGCTTTGTATAGTATATTTTAATACATCCATTAATCCACTACTTGTATTGTTTTCATTCTCTTTCAAAACTCTCATTTTTAAATTATTTCCTTGAACATTTAAGCAGAGTTATTTTAAAGTCTATATTTTATTGCTTCTTGACTTGTATCAGCTATGATTCTGGGACTATTGTATGTCATTCTTCTTGGGTTTTGACCATGTCTTCTTTTTCTCTAGCATATTTGAACATTTTCTGTTGAATGCAAGACATTTTAATCTGACAAAGGCCTAATATCCAGAATCTACAAAGAACCCAAACAAACTTACAAGAAAAAAACAAACAATCGCATCAACAGGTGAGCCAAGGATGTGAACACTTCTCAAAAGAAGACATTTATGCAGCCAACAGACACATGAAAAAATGTTCATCATCACTGGCCATGAGAGAAATGCATATCAAAACCACAATGAGATACCATCTCACACCAGTTAGAATGGTGATCATTAAAAAGTTGGGAAACAACAGGTGCTGGAGAGGGTGTGGAGAAATAGGAAGACTTTTACACTGTTGGTGGGACTGTAAACTAGTTCGTCCACCGTGGAAGACAGTGTGGTGATTCCTCAAGGATCTAGAACCAGAAATACCGTTTGACCCAGCCATCCCATTCCTGGGCATATACCCAAAGTATTATAAATCATGCTGCTACAAAGACACATGCACATGTATGTTTATTGCAGCACTATTCACAACAGCAAAGACTTGGAACCGACCCAAATGTCCATCAATGATAGACTAGATTAAGAAAATGTGGCACATATACACCATGGAATACTATGCAGCCATAAAAAAAGGATGAGTTCATGTCCTTTGTAGGGACATGAATGAAGCTGGAAACCATCATTCTCAGCAAACTATCGCAAGGACAAAAAACCAAACACCTCACGTTCTCACTCATAGGTGGGAACTGAACAATGAGAACACTTGGACACAGGAAGGGGAACATCACACATCGGGACCTGTTGTGGGGTGGGGGTAGGGGGGAGGGATACCATTAGGAGATATACCTAATGTAAACGACGAGTTAATGGGTGCAGCACACCAACATGGCACATGTATACATATGTAACTAACCTGCATGTTGTGCACATGTACCCTAGAACTTAAAGTATAATACATATATATATATATATAAAGAAAAAAAATATGCTAGGGATAGCTTGAAGTATATGGTTATTTTGTTTTCTTCCATGAAGAATTTATTTTTTTCCCTGGCAAGGGGTTAAGGGCACTAGCAAATTAATAACCTTCATTCTTTCAGGGAATATGAGGATTTCAAGTAGTGCTTTACCTCTGAAAGGAGAGAACTGTTTCCAGTTCACTCTTACCCTAAAAGTATAAACTTTTAAAGTCTCAGAGATGATAAAGGCCTCACCCTCTTAGAAGGTTTTAAAGTTCAATTTAATAACCTAAATTCCATGAGTCTGTCAGAAATTCTGCTTAGAGAAAAAGGAAAAAGAGGAATATCTATAGAAAAGACAGACATGAGGAATATCTCTATTTAAGAACTGCAAGGTTAGCTTCATAGTAAATCCCAAGGAATCTACCAAAAAAATCCTTTAAAACTACTGAGTTTAATGATTTCACAAGATAAACAGTCAGCACACAAAATCTATATATATTAGCAATTTACAATTTGAAAAATTAAATTAAAAACAAAAAAATTCATAGTTGCAACAAAAATTAAACATTATAAATCTAACAAAATATGTACAGGAATTCAAAATTGAAATATTTTAAAAATGCAAATAAAAGTCAATCTAAATAAATGAAGAGAAATACTGTAATCTTGGATTAGAAAATTCAACATAGACTTAATGGAATACCAATCAAAATTTTAAAACATCATTTTATAGATATAAACAAGCTGATTCTAAAATGTATGTGGAAGGGCAAAGGAAATAAAATAGCTAAAACAATTTTGAAAAAGGAAAAGTATTGCAGGAAGGGAATTTAACATTTTCCAAAAATATCATTATTATGACAATGTGATATTAGTGAAGGATAGCATATGAAGCAATGGAACACAAAAGAAAGTCTAGAAATACATTCACACAAAAATGGCCATTGATTTTTTTACAAAGATGTAAAAAAAATCAATAGCTAGAGAATAGTCTTTTTAAAAATTGGTATGGAGAAATTGGATATCAGTGTGCAATAAAAAATGAACTTTGACTTAAATTTCTCATCTTATATAAAAACGAACTCAAAATGAATTATAGATATAAATATGAAACATCAAATAATAGAAGTTTTAGAAGAAAACATAGGAAACATACTCATGACTTAGGGTTCTGTGAAGAGCCCATAGACATTACAACAGGAGCATAACCCATAAAGGAAAACAATTAAAAACTAGATTTTATCAAAATTAGAAATTTTGCTCTGCAAAAGTTACTGTTAAGAAAATAAAAAGACAAACTAAAAATTGAGAGAAAAACATTTGCAAATCACATATAAGAGAAAGGACTAGTATCTAAACTATATAAATAACTCTTCTTCCCTGTCCTGAAGTAGAATGTGTAAAGGAGGAGGACTAGGAGTCACACTATTTGGCCTCCTTCCTCATGGAAAAAAAGAATAGAAATTGAGAAGGAGTATTAACTACTAACATTCACCAGTTTTTTGTTCTCTTAACTATTAAACTTAATCATTAAGCCTGTGGTCACTAGGGCTGAGAATTTCCCTTTAAGGGGAAATGAGAAATCTATCAGAGAAGGGTCTTATTCCCACCTTCACAAAACCACTCTCCTAAGATTGGCCACTGCTCTTTTATGTATTATATATTATCCTGGGACAACTTGCAGACACTTTAGATTTTACTCCAGCATATTCTGAACTTTCTCAGAAATAAGTATTAATTAAATCAATCTCACTCTGTACCCAAAGCTGAAAACCAAACTCATCCTCTTTTTTATATTGGTTCCCAAGTTACATCCAGCAACATTACCCAAAATAGCACATCATTGATCCTGCAATCAGATTAAATGACAACATGAAGATACTCCAATAATGAAATGCCAACGTAGAGATGCACCAGAATTGAATATAAACCCCTTTCTATTATCAAATTCCCAGAGAGAAGAGATCAGAGATTAAATTTCCTTGCAAGTTGAAGTCCAAAAACATTCAATTCCAAAGTAATTGTACTTCAAAATTTAATTTTCTTGCTCTTGAGAGTTAAAAGCACAAAGTTCGAGGAACTTCCTCCCAATTTTTCATTCTGCTCAGTCTTAACCAGATAAGTTCCCAATGCTTGGATGTAATTTGACTTGGCCTCTTTCCTACTTAAGTATGGTTTTTCTCAGAGCCTTAGAACTTGAATTAGTTCAATATTAAGTTTCTCATGTTCTTCAAATGTAAATGATCCAAAAAGTTAATAATATAATCAGTATTTCCATATCTTTGGCCTGTCACCCCAAAGAATTTATAAAATAAATGAATTTACATGCTCTTTAGCAGTTATTCCAGAAAAGATTACGCACACAAAACAGTACTTAGTATTCCAGTCCAGCCATACAGACAATCAAGGTTATCTGAATAAAGATGGGTAGATGGAGAAGGATGTTAATCACTTGTGAATATAAACTCAAATGAGAAAAATATTTCATCAAGAGGATAATATTGTCACTGAGCTTTTACCACATCTGGAGGAGAGGAGGGAATCTATCTATACATATTGCCTTACCTCAAAGAGAATGGCTTTTGAAATACACTTGCATTCAACAAGATTAAAAATTTTCAATGTTGGCTCGAGTTCCACACATTTGGTAAAGCCCAAACACCTTTATCGTAGCACAGGATGGAAAACTCAAACTAACAGGGACTCTCCAAGGAGCACCAGGGTTCCAGAAACATAGTGCTTGTGTTAGGCTAGATTCCTTTAACCAAGAGACAATTAAGACAGTGGGAGATACAAGGGGATTTACATGAAGGCATATAAGAAGTTTCCCAGCATGTGAGCTAAGAACGGTCTTATTTAAAATGCAAACTAAATTTCATTTCTTTTTTTTTTTAAACTTTAAGTTCTAGGGTACATGTGCACAACGTGGAGGTTTGTTACACAGATATACATGTGCCATGTTGGTTTGCTGCACCCATCAACTCGTAATTTACATTAGGTATTTCTCCTAATTCTATCCCTCCCCCAGCCCCCACCCCCCGACTGGCTCCCATGTGTGATGATCCCCACCCTGTGTCCATGTGTTCTCACTATTCACAATAACAAAGACTTAGAACCAACCCAAATGTCCATCAATGATAGACTGGATTAAGAAAATGTGGCATATATACACCATGGAATACTAAGCAGCCATAAAAAAAGGATGAGTTCATGTCCTATGCAGGGACATGGATGAAGCTGGAAACCGTCATTCATTTCTATATTTTGTCATATTCTTTTAAACTACACAACCTTTTCTAACCTTCTCCCCAAACCAATTTCTCCAAGATGAAACTCCTTGCGGGACAAGTTGATCTGCTCTGGATTAATGTTTACTTTGTTTGAATGAGTCTTGTTTTCATCCTAGTATCCTTAACATAGGGAAGGGACCTGTAATGAGGCAACTAGGAGGGAAGGTCTGTACAGTTCAGTCCTAGTAATTTCTAATGCTCTAATACAATTGACCGAACTCCATCTGTGTTCTTGGTTGCCCACACTTGTGGTCACAAAAGCACACATTCTGCGGTCTGCAGTCTCACCTTCTGTGACTGCTGTGCTTTTACACACTGTCCTGGAACTTATAAATGTTCTTTTGGATTCACTAGCTTACTATCATTTATTTTTCCTAATAAAATTTAATAGAGGGGGTGGGGCCAAGATGGCCAACTAGAAGCAGCAGCAGTCAGAGGCTCCCACTGAGAAGAAACCAAACTGTGCCAATACTGTAATGGCATCCAAGGTATCCAGGTTCTATCATCAGGACTGACTAGGTGATTGGCATAACCCACTGAGAGCAAGGAAAAGCAGCATGGTGCGTTGGCCCACCTGAGAGCCACATGGGGCAAGGAGATCCCCCACCTCCAGCCAACAAAGGTGGTGAGTGAGCATGTTACCTGTCCTGGGAAACTACACTTTTTCCATGGATCTGTGCAACCCACAGATCAGAAGATCCCACTCATGAACCCATGCCACCAGGGCCTTGGGTCCCAACCATAGGAGCCACACAGATTCTCAGCACATATTCCGCTGGAATCAGCCTAATACTACCGAGTTCCCCAGGGAGGAGCGGCCACCACCACTCGGGCTGCCTGCTGTCTAAGCCATCTCAGCTCCCTAGGGGAAGAACAGCAGCCATCACTGTGGCTCCCAGGGGCCTAAGACACTGAACTCCTGGGGAAAGGATGGCAGCCATCACTGCAGCTGCCACTTGCCTAAGACAAATGAGCTCCCTGAGAGAGGGTGGCCATCATCACTGCAGCTGCCTGATGCCTAAAAAAACTGAGCTCCCCAGGAGAGGGACAGCAGCCATCACTGTGCTTCTAGCTGCCTAAGACAGTGAACTGCGGGGGGCTAAAGGGGCACTGGGGAGCGGGCAGCAGCATTACCGTAGCTTCAAGCCAACAATTCTTCCCCTGCTGGTGCTGGGGAGACTGGATGGCTTGGTCCCAAGAGGTGTAGCACACTGGCTGCGGCAGATCGAGGCCAAACTGCCTCTTTAGGCCAGACCCTGAGCCATTTCTCTTCACTGGGCAGGGCCTCTCTGTCTGAACTCCAGCAACTCCAGCCAGAGGTTTAGAGACAAAACTCTGATCTCCCTGGGCCTGAGCCACAGGGGGAGAGGTTTCCATGGCCTCCATGGACCAGCAGAGTTAGTCTTTACCCTTGATAGTTCTGAGGAATCCAGGCAGCTCAGATGAGTGGGTTTCCCCCCAGTGCAGAACACCCCCTCCACCAAGGAACAGCCAAAGTGCTTCATTAAACAGATCCTGAATCCTGTGCCCCACAACAGGGTGAGACCCCCAAACAGGGGTCACCAGTCACCTTATACAGGAGCATTCCTACTGGCATCAGGTTAGTGCCCCTTGAGTCAGAGATCCCAGAGGAAAAAGCAGGCACCCATCTTTGCTGTTCTCCAGCCCCCTTGGGTGACATCTCCAGGTGAGGGAGGGACCCAGATGAATAGAGTCTTAATTAAAACCCCAGAAAACTGCAGCAGCCCAACAGAAGAGAGACTTGACTATTTAAAGAAAAACAAACAGCAACAACAACAGCATCAACAAAACAGTCCCCACAAAATCCTCACCCAAAGGTCAGCAACCTAAAAGATCAAAACTACACCAACTCATGAAGATAAGAAAGAATCAATGAAAAAAAAAAAACAACTGAAAACTCAAAAGGTCAGAGTGCCTCTTCACCTCCAAATGATCACAACACCTCTCCAGCAAGGGCACAGAAATGGACAGAGGATGAGATAGATAAACTGACAGAAGTAGGCTTCAGAAGATGGGTTATAACCAACTTCACTGAGGTGAAGGAGCATGTTCTAACCCAATGCAAAGAGAAGCTAAGAACCATGATAAAAGGTTACAGGAGCTGCTAACTAGAATAACCAGTTTACAGAGGAACATAAATGAACTGATGGAGCTGAAAAACACAGCACAAGAACTTCGTGATGCAAACACAAGTATCAATAGCTGAATCGATCAAGCAGAAGAAAGAATATTAGAGCTTGAAGACTACCTTGCTGAAATAAGAAAGGCAGAGAGGATTAGAGAAAAAAGAATGAAAAGGAGTGAACAAAACCCCCAAGAACTATGGAACTATGCAAAAGACTGAACCTATGACTGACTGGAGTACCTAAAAGGGACACGGAGAATGGAATCAAGTTGGAAAACACACTTCAGGGTATCATCCAGGAGAACTTCCCCAACCTAGCAAGACAGGCTAACATTCAAATTCAGGAAATACAGAGAATCCCAGTAAGACACTCCACAAGAAGATCAACCCCAAGACACATACTCACCAACCCCAAGACACATGCTCACCAAGGACATGATTCTCCAAGGTCAAAATGAAGGAAAAAATGTTAAGGAAATCCAGAGAGAAAGGCCAGGTCACCTACAAAAGCAAGCCCATCAGAATAACAAGGGACCTCTCAGCAGAAACCCTGTAAGCCAGAAGAGAGTGGGGGCCAATATTCAAGATTCTTAAGAAAAAGGATTTTCAACACAGAATTTTATATCCAGCCAAACTAAGCTTCATAAGTGAAGGAGAAATAACATCCTTTTCAGACAAGCAAATGCTGAGGGAATTCATCACCACCAGGCTTGCCTTGCAAGAGGTCCTGAGGGAAGCACTAAATATGGAAAGGTAAAACTGGTATCAGCCACTGCAAAAACACACTGAAGTACAAAGACCCATGACATTATAAAGAAACTGCATCAACTAGTGAGCAAAACAACCAGCTAGAATCATAATGACAGGATCAAATTCACACATAACAACATTAACCTTGAATTTAAATGGGATAAATGCCCCAGTGGGAAAAAAAAAAACAGACTGACAAATTGGATAAAAAGTCAAGACCCATCAGTGGGCTGTATTTGAAAGACCCGTCTCAAGTGCAAACACACACACACAGGCTCAAAATAAAGGGATGAAGGGAAATTTACCAAGCAAATGGAAAGAAGAAAAAAGCAAGGGTTGCAATCCTAGTTTCTGACAAAACAGACTTTAAATTAAAAAAGATCAAAAAAAGAAGGGCATTACATAATGGTAAAGGGATCAATTCAGCAAGAAGAGCTAACTATCCTAAATATATACGCACCCAATACAGGAGCACCTAGATTCATAAAACAAGTTATTAGAGACCTACCAAGAGATTTAGACTCCAAATCAGTAATAGTGGGAGACTTTAACACCCCCACTGACAATATTAGATCTACCACACAGAAAATTAACAAGGATATTCTGGACTTGAACTCAGCTCTGGATCAAGTTGACCTGATAGATATCTACAGAACTCTCGACCCCAAAACAACAGACTATACATTTTTCTCAGTGCCACATGGCACTTACTCTAAAATTGATCACATAATTGGAAGTAAAACACTCCTCAGCAAATGCAAAAGAACGGTAATTGATTTCTGGGCAAGATGGCTGAATAGGAACATCTCCGGTCTTCAGCTCCCAGTAAGACCAATGCAGAAGGTGGGTGATTTCAGCACTGTCAACTGAGGTACACGCTTCATCTCACAGGGACTGGTTAGACAGTGGGTGCAGTTCATGGAGGGTGAGCAGAAGCAGGCTGGAGCACTGGCTCACCTGGGAAGTGCAAAGGGTTGGGGAACTCCCTCCCCACAACCAAGGGAAGCCATGAGGGACCATGCCATGAGGGACCATGCTATCTGGCCCAGGTACTACACTTTTCCCATGATCTTTGCAACCCACAGACCAGGCGATTCTTTTGGATGACTAAACCACAAGGGCCCTGGGTTTCAAGCACAAAACTGGGCAGCCATTTGGGCAGACACCGAGCTAGCTGCAGGAGTTTATTTTTATACCCCAGTGGTGCCTGGAACACCAGCAAGACAGAACTGTTCACACCCCTAGAAAGGAGGCTAAATCCAGGGATTCAAGTGGTCTTGTTCAGTGGATCCCATGGAGCCCAGCAAGCTAAGATCCACTGGCTTGAAATTCTCGCTCCCAGCACAGCAGTCTGAAGTTGGCCTGGGATGCTCAAGCTTGGTGGGAGGAGAGGCATCTGCCATTACTGAGGCTTGAGTAGGCAGTTTTCCCCTCACAGTGTAAACAAAGCCACTGGGACGATCTGACTGTGCGGAGCCCACTGCAGCACAGCAAACTCACTGTAGCCAGACTGCCTCTCTAGATTCCTCCTCTCTTGGGAGGGCACCTCTGAAAGAAAGGCAGCAGCCCCAGTCAGGGGCTTATAGATAAAATTCCCATCTCCCTGGGACAGTGTAGCTGGGGGAAGGGCCAGCTGTGGGCTCAGCTTCAGCAGAATTAAATGTTCCTGCTTTCCAGCTCGGAAGAGAGCAGCAGATCTCCCAGTATAGCAATCGAGCTCTACTAAGAGACAGGCTGCCTTTTCAAATGGGTCCATGAACCCCAGGCCTCCTGATCGGGAGACACCTCCCAGAAGGGCTCGACAGACAACTAATACAAGAGAGGTCTGGCTGGCATCTGGTGGATGTCCCTCTGGGTCAAAACTTCCAGAGGAAGGAGCAGGCAACAATCTTTGCTGTTCTGCAGCTTCTGCTGGTGATATCCAGGCAAACAGCGTCTGGAGCGGAGCTCCAGCAAACTCCAGCAGACCTGCAGAACAGGGGCCTGTAAGTAGAAAAACTAACAAACAGAAAGTAATACCATCAACATCAACAAAAAGTACGATCACGCAAAAACTCCATCCAAAGGTCACCAAGAGCAAAGGTCTCTTCTCCTCCAAAGGATCACAATTCCTCACCAGCAAGGGAAAAAACTGGATGGAGAATGAGTTTGATGGACTGACAGAAGTGGGCTTCAGAAGGTGGGTAATAACAAACTCCTCAGAGCTAAAGAAGCATATATTAACTCAACGCAAGGAAGCTAAGGACCTTGATAAAAGGTTAGACGAATGGCTAACTAGGATAATTAGTTTAGAGAAGTACATAAATGACCTGATGGAGTTGAAAAACACAGCACGAGAACCTCATGAAGCATACACAAGTATCAATGGCTGAATTGAGCAAGAGGAAGAAAGGATATCAGAGATTGAAGATCAACTAAATGAAATAAAGCGTGAAGACAAGATTAGAGAAAGAAGAATGAAAAGGAATGAACAAAGCCTTCAAGAAATATGGGACTATGTGAAAAAACCACCTATGTTTGATTGGAAGACAGGCCAACATTCAAATTCAGAAAATACACAGAACACCACAAAGATACTCCTTGAGAAGAGCAACAAAAAATGCTAAGGGAAGCCAGAGAAAAATAATAGGTTACCCATAAAGGGAAGTCCATCAGACTAACAGTGGATCTCTCTGCAGAAATTCTACAAGCCAGAAGAGAGTGGGGGTCAATATTCAAAATTCTTACAAAAAGGAATTTTCAACCCAGAATTTCATATCCACCCAAACTAGGCTTCATAAGTGAAGGAGAAATAAAATCCTTTACAGAAAAGCAAATGCTGAGGGATTTTTTCACCACCAGGCCTGGCTTACAAGAGCTTCTGAAGGGAGTACTAAATATGGAGAAAACAAAAGGTACAAACCACTGAAAAAACAAACCAAAATGTAAAGACCATCGACACTATGAAGAAACTGCATCAACTAATGGGCAAAATAACCAGCTAGCGTCATAAAGACAGAATCAAATTCACACGTAACAATATTAACCTTAAATATAAATGGGCTAAATGCCCCAATTAAAAGGCAAAGACTGGCATATTGGATAAAGAGTCAAAACCCATCAATGTGCTGCATTCGGGAGACCCATCTCACGTGTAAAGACACACAGGCTCAAAATAAAAGGATGGAGGAAGATTTACCAAGCAAAAGGCAAATGAAAAGCAGAAAAACACAGGGGTTGCAATCCTAGTCTCTGACAAAAGAGACTTTTATCAGCTCTGGACCAAGTGGACCTAATAGACATCTACAGAACTCTCCAACCCAAATCAATAGAACATACATTCTTCTCAGCAGTACATTACACTTATTCGAAAATTGACCACATAATTGGAAGTAAAACACTCCTCAGCAAATGCAAAAGAATGGAAGTCATAACAAACAGTCTCTCAGAGCACAGTGCAATCAAATTAGAACTCAGGATTAAGAAACTCACTCAAAATGGCACAACTGCATGAAAACTGAACAAACCTGCTCCTGAATGACTACTGGGGAAACAATGACATTAAGGCAGAAATAAATAAGTTCTTTGAAACCAATGAGAACAAAGACACAATGTACCAAAATCACTGGGACACACCTAAAGCAGTGTTTAGAGGGAAATTTATAGTACTAAATACCCACAGGAGAAAACAGGAAAGATCTAAAATCAACACCCTAACATCACAATTGAAAGAACTAGAGAAGCAAGAGTAAATAAATTCAAAAGCTAGCAGAAGACAAGAAATAACTAAGATCAGAGCAGAACTGAAGGAGATAGAGCCATGAAAAACCCTTCAAAAAATCAATGAATCCAGGAGATGGCTTTTTGAAAAGATTAACAAAATAGATCCCTAGCCCGGCTAATAAAAGAAAAAAGAGATGAATCTAGACACAATAAAAATGACAAAGGGTATATCACCACTGATCCCACAGATATACAAACTACCATCAGAGATACTATAAACATCTCTACAAAAATAAACTAGAAAATCTAGAAGAAATGAATAAATTTCTGGGCACATACACCCTCCCAAGACTAAACCAGGAAGAAGTTGAATCCCGGAATAGACCAATAACAAGTTCTGAAATTGAGGCAGTAATTAATAGCCTACCAACCAAAAACAGTGCAGGACCAGATGGATTCACAGCCAAATTCTACCAGAGGAGTTGGTACCATTCCTTCTAAAATTATTCCAAGCAATAGAAAAGGAGAGACTCCTCCCTAACTCTTTTTATGAGGCCAGCATCATCCTGATACCAAAACCTGGCAGAAACACAACAATAACAACAAAATATGTCAGGCCAATATTTCTGATGAATATCAATGTGATTGTATATATAGAAAACCCCATCATCTCAGCACAAAAACTCTTAAAGCTGATAAGCAACTTCAGCAAAGTCTCAGGATACAAAATCAATGTGCAAAAATCAAAAGCATTCCTATACATGAATAATAGAGAGCCAAATCATGAGTGAACTCCTATTCACAATTGCTATGAAGAGAATAAAATACCTAGGAATACAACTTACATGGGATGTGAAGGGCCTCTTCAAAGACAACTACAAAGCACTGCTCATGGAAATAAGAGAGGGCACAAAAAATGGAAAAACATTCCATGATCATGGATGGAAGGAAACAATATCATGAAAATGGCCATATTGCCCAAAGTAATTTATAGAATCAATGCTATTCCCATCAAGCTATCATTGACTTTTCTCACAGAATTAGAAAAAAAACTACTTTAAATTTCGTATGGAACCAAAAAGGTCTCATATAGCCAAGACAATCCTAAGAAAAAAGAACAAAGCTGGAGGCATCACACTACCTGGCTTCAAACTATACTACAAGGCTACAGTAACCAAAACAGCTTGGTACTGGTACCAAAACAGACACATAGACCAATGGAAAAGAACAGAGGCCTCAGAAATAACACCACACATCTACAACCATCTAATCTTTGACAAACATGACAAAAACAAGCACTGGGGAAATGATTCCCTATTCAATTAATGGTGCTGGAAAAACGGGCTAGCCATATGCAGAAAACTGAAACTTGACCCCTTCCTTACACCTTATACAAAAATTAACTCAAGATGGATTAAAAATTTAAATGTAAGACCTAAAACCGTAAAAACTCTAGAAGAAAACCTAGGCAATACTTTTCAGGACGTAGGCATGGGCAAAGACCTCATGACTAAAACACCAAAACCAATGGCAACAAAAGCCAAAATTGACAAATGGGACCTAATTAAACTAAAGAGCTTCTGTACAGCAAAAGAAACTATC
Organism: Homo sapiens; assembly: GCF_000001405.40. Classification (NCBI taxonomy): domain Eukaryota; kingdom Metazoa; phylum Chordata; class Mammalia; order Primates; family Hominidae; genus Homo; species Homo sapiens. Next base: position 110,131,886 of record NC_000005.10, on the reverse strand, counting down.
ATCAGAGTGAACAGACAACCTACAGAATAGGAGAGAAGTTTTGCAATCTATTCATGTGACAAAAGGCTAATACCCAGATTCTACAAGGAACTTAAACAAATTTACAACAACAACAACAAATCATCAAAAAGTGGGCAAAGGATATAAACAGACACCTCTCAAAAGAAGACATTTATGTGGCCAACAAACATATGAAGAAAAGCTCATGATCACTCATTAGAGAAATGCAAATAAAAACCACAATGAGATAATATCTCACACCAGTTAGAATGGCGATCATTAAAATGTCAGGAAACAACAGATGCTGGAGAGGATGTGGAGAAATAGGAATGCTTTTACACTGTTGGTGGGAGTGTAAATCAGTTCAACCATTGTGCAAGATGATGTGGTGATTCCTCAAGGATCTAGAACTAGAAATACCAGTTGACCCAGCAATCCCATTACTGGGTACATACCTGAAGGAATATAAACCATTCTATTACAAAGATGCATGTATGTTTATTGCAGCAGTATTCATAATAGCAAAGACTTGGAGCCAACCCAAATGCCCATCAATAATAGACTGGATAGAGAAAATGTGGCACATATACATGATGGAATACTATGCAGCCATAAAAAAGAATGAGTTCATACCATTTGCAGGGACATGGATGAACCTGGGAATCATCATTCTCAGCAAGGTAACACAGGAACAGAAAACCAAACACTGCATGTTCTCACCCATAAGTAGGAGTTGAACAATGAAAACATATGGGCAAAGGGAGGGGAACATCACACCCTGGGGCCTGTCAGGTTTGGGGCCAAGGGAAGGAATAGCATTAGGAGAAATACCTAAGGTAGATGACGGGTTGATGGGTGAAGCAAACCACCATGGCACATGTATACTATATAACAAACCTGCACGTTCTGCACATGTCCCAGAACTCAAGCATAATTAAAAAAAAAAAAAAAAAGATTTCTCCTTGAAGAGGTCCTTCACATCCCTTGTAAGGTGTATTCCTAGGTGTTTTATTCTCTTTGTAGCAATTGCAAGTGGGAGTTCACTCATGATTTGGCTCTCTGTCTATTATTGGTATACAGGAATGCTTGAGATTGTTGCACATTGATTTTGTATCCTGAGACTGCTGAAGTTGCTTATCAGCTTAAGGAGATTTTGGGCTGAGATGATGGGATTTTCTAAATATACAATAACGTCATTTCCAAACAGAGACAACTTGACTTCCTCTCTTCCTATGTGAATACCCTTTACTTCTTCCTCTTGCCTGACTACCCTGGCCAGAACTTCCAATACTATGTTTAATAGGAGTGGTGACAGAGGGCACCCTTGACTTGTGCTGGTTTTCATAGGGAATGCTTCTAGCTTCTGCCCATTCAGTATGATATTGGCTGTGGGCTTGTCATAAATAGTTCTTATTATTTTGAGATATGCTCTATCAAAACCTAGTTTATTGAGTGTTTTTATCATGAAGGAGTGTTGAATTTTATTGAAGGTCTTTTCTGCATCTACTGAGATAATCATGCGGTTTTTGTCATTGGTTCTGTTCATGTGATGGATTAAATTTATTGATTTGTGTATGTTGAACGAGCCTTGCATCCCAGGGATGAAGTCAACTTGATCATGGTGGATAAGCTTTTTGATGTGCTGCTGGATTCTGTTTGCCAGTATTTTATGGAGGATTTAAACCACTGCTCAAGGAAATAAGAGAGGACACAAATAAATGAAAAAACATTCCATGCTCATGGATAGGAAGACTCAATATCGTGAAAATGATCATACTGCCCAAAGTAATTCATACATTCAGTGCTATCCCCATCAAGCTACCACTGACTTTCTTGACAGAATTAGAAAACATTATTTTAAATTACTTTTAATTTCATACGGAGCCAAAAAAGAACCCATATAGGCAAGACCATCCTAAGCAAAAAGAACAAAGATGGAGGCATCATGCTACCTGATGTCCAACTATACTACAAGGCTACAGTAACCAAAACAGCATGGTTCTGGTACCAAAATAGATGGACCAATGGAACAGAACAGAGGCCTCAGAAATAACACCACACATCTACAACCATCTGATCTTTGACAAACCTGACAAAAACAAGCAATAGGGAAAGATTCCCTATTTAATAAATGGTGTTGGGAAAACTGACTAGCCATATGCAGAAAACTGAAACTGGATCCCTTCCTTACACCTTATATAAAACTTAACTCAAGATGGATTAAAGATTTAAATGTGAGACCTAAAACCCTAGAAGAAAACCTAGGCAATACCTTTCAGGACATAGGCATGGGCAAAGACTTTATGACTAAAACCACATGATTATCTCAATAGATGCAGAAAAGGCCTTTGATAAAATTCAACCGCCCTTCATGCTAAAATCATTCAATAAACTAGGTATGGATGGAATATATTTCAAAATAATAAGAGCTATTTATGAAAAACCAAAACCCAATATCATACTGAATGGGGAACAGCAGGAAGCATTCCCTTTGAAAATTGGCACAAGACAAGGATGCCCTCTCTCACCACTCCTATTCCACATAGTATTGGAAGTTCTGGCCAAGGCAATCAGGCAAGAGGAAGAAATAAAGTGTATTCAAATAGGAAGAGAGGAAGTCAAATTATCTCTGTTGGCAGATGACATGATTGTATATTTAGAAAACCCCACCATCTCAGCCCAAAAACTCCTTAACCTGATAAGCAACTTCAGCAAACTCTCAGGATACAAAATTACATGCAAAAATCAAAAGCATTCCTATACACCAATAACAGACAAACAGAGAGCCAAATCATGAGCAAACTCCCATTCACAATTGTTACAAAGAGAATAAAAACCTAAGAATACAACTTACAAGGAATGTGAAGGACCTCTTCAAGGAGAACTACAAACCTCTGTTCAAGGAAATAAGAGAGGACACAAACTAATGAAAAAACATTCCATGCTTATGAATAGGAAGAATCAATATCATGAAAATGGCCATACTGCTCAAAGTAATTTATAGATTTAATGCTATCCCCATCAAGCTACCATTTACTTTCTTCATAGAATTAGAAGAAAAACTGCTTTAAATTTCATGTGGAAGCAAAAAAGAGCTCGTATAGCCAAGACAATCCTAAGAAAAAAGAACAAAGCTGAAGGCATCAAGCTACCTGACTTCAAATTATACTACAAGTCTACAGTGATCAAAACATCATGGTTCTGATATCAAAACAGACACATAGACCAATGGAACAGAACAGAGGCCTCAGAAATAATACCACACATCTACAACTATCTGATCTTTGACAAACCTGACAAAAACAAGCACTGGGGAAAAGATTCCCTATTTAATAAATGGTGTTGGGGAAACCAGCTAGCCATTCACAGAAAACTGAAACTGGATCCCCTCCTTACACCTTATACAAAAATTAACACACGATGGACTAAAGATTTAAATGTAATACCTAAAATGATAAAAACCCTAGAAGAAAACCTAGGCAATACCATTCAGGACACAGGCATGGGCAGACTTCATGACTAAAGCACCAAAAGCAATTGCAACAAAAGCCAAAATTGACAAATGGGATCTAATTAAACTAAAGAGCTTCTGCACAGCAAAAGAAACTATCATCAGAGTGAACAAGCAACCAACAAAATGGCAGATAATTTTTGCAATCTATTCATCTGACAAAGAGCTAATATCCCGAATCTACAAGGAACTTTAACAAATTTACAAAGATAAAACAACCCCATCAAAAAGTGGGCAAAGGATATGAACAGACATCTCTCAAAAGAAGATATTTATGCGGCCAACAAACACACGAAGAAAAGCTCATCATCACTGGTCATTAGAGAAATGCAAATAAAAGCCACAATGAGATACCATCTCACACCAGTTAATATGACAATCATTAAAAAGTCAGGAAACAGCAGATGCTGGAGAGAATGTGGAGAAACAGGAACGCTTTTACACTGTTGGTGGTAGTGTAAATTACTTCAACCATTGGGCAGGACAGTGTGGCAATTCCCCAGGGATCTGGAACTAGAAGTACCATTTGACCCAGCAATCCCATTGCTGGGTATATACCCAAAGGATTATAAATCATTCTACTATAAAGACATATGCACACGTATGTTTATTGCAGCACTATTCACAATAGCAAAGACTTGGAGCCAACCCAAATGCCCATCAATGATAGACTGGATAAAGAAAATGTGGCACATAAACACCATGAAATACAAGGCAGTCATAAAAAAAGAATGAGTTCATGTCCTTTGCAGAGATATGGATGAAGCTGGAAGCCATCATTCTCAGCAAACTATCACAGGAACAGAAAACCAAACATGGCATGTTCTCACCCATAAGTAGGAGCTAAATAATGAGAACATATGGGCACAGGGAGGGGAACATCACACACTGGGGCCTGTCAGGGGCTGGGGGGCAAGGGGAGGGATAGCATTAGGAGAAATACCTAATGTAGATGATGAGTTGATGGGTGTAGCAAACTACCATGGCACATGTATCCCTGTGTAACAAACTGCAGGTTCTACACATGTATCCCAGAACTTAAAGTGTATAAAAAATAAATAAATAAATAAAATTTTAAAAGAACTGAAATCATAACAGTCTCTCAGACCACAATGCAATCAAATTAGAATTTAAGATTAAGAAACTCACTCAAAACCACACAACTACATGAAAATTGAATAACCTGCTCCCGAATTACTCCTAAATAATAAACTTGAGGCAAAAATCAAGAAGCTCTTTGAAACCAATGAGAACAAAGAGACAACATACCAGAATCTCTGAGACACAGGTAAAGCAGTGCTAAGAGGGAAATTTATAGCACTAAATGCCCACATTAAAAAGCTAGAAAGATCTCAAATCAACACCCTAACAACACAACACAAATAACCAGAGAAGCAAGAGAAAACAAATCCAAAAGCCGGCAGAAGACAAGGAATAATTAAGATTGGAGTGGAACTGAAGGACATAGAGACATAAAAAATCCTTCAAAAAAATCAGTGAATCCAAGAGTTGGTTTTTTGAAAAAATTAACAAAATAGATAGACTGCTAGCTAGACTAATAGAGAAGAAGAGAAGGATGATTCAAATAGACACAATAAAAAATGATAAAGGGGATATCACTGCACAGAAATGCAAACAACTATCAGAGAATACTATAAACACCTCTATGCAAATGAACTAGAAAATAAAAAATAAATGGATAAATTCATGGACACATAAACCCTCCCAAGACTAAACCAGGAAGAAGCTAAATCCTTGAAAAGACCAATAACAAGTTCTGAAATTGAGGCAGTAATAAATAGCCTACCAATAAAAAAAAAAAAAAAAAGCCCAGAACCAGACAGATCTACAGCTGAATTTTACCAGAGGTATAAAGAGGAGATGGTACCATTCCTTCTGAAACTATTCCAAACAATTGAAGAAAAGGGATGTCTCCCTTACTCATTTTGTAAGGCCAGCATCATCCTAATACCAAAACTTGGCAGAGACTCAACAAAAAAAGAAAACTTCAGTTCAATATCCCTGATGAACATCAAGGTAAAACTCCTTAATAAAATTCTGGCAAACTGAATCCAGCAGCACATTGAAAAGCTTATCCATCATACTCAAGTTGGCTTCACCCCTGGGATGCAATGCTGGTTCAACAAATGCAAATCAATAAACATAATTCGTCACAAAAACAGAACTAATGACAAAAACCACATGACTATCTCAATACACACAGAAAAGGCCTTCCATAAAATTTAACATCTCTTTATGTTAAAAACTCTCAATAAACTACATATTGATGGAACATATCTCAAAATAACAAGAGCCATTTATTACAAACCCACAGCCAATATCATACCAAATGGGCAAAAGCTGGAAGCATTCCCTTTTAAAACTGCCACAAGAGAAGGATGCCCACTCTCAACACTCCTATTCAACATAGTATTGAAAATTCTGGCCAGGGAAGCCAGGCAAGAGAAAAAAATAAAGGGTATACATATAGGAAGAGAGGATGTCAAATTGTCTCTGTTTGCAGATGACATGATCCTGTATCTAGAAAGCCCCATCATCTTGGCCCAAAAGCTCCTTAAGCTGATAAGCAACTTCAGCAAAGTCTCAGGATACAAAATCAATGTGCAAGAATCAAAAGCATTTCTATACACCAACAACAGACAAGCAGAGAGCCAAATCATGAATGAACTCCCATTCACAATTGCTAAAAAGAGAATAAAATACCTAGGAATAGCGGTAACAAGGGACGTGAGAGACCTCTGAAAGGAGAATTACAAGCCACTGCTCAAAGAAATCAGAGAGGACATAAATAAATGGAGAAAAATTCCATTTTCATGGATAGAAAGAATCAAAATCGTGAAAATGACCATACTGCCCGAAGTAATTTATAGATTCAATACTACTCCTATCAAACTACGATTGGCATTCTTCACTGAATTAAAGGAAAAGCTACTGTAAAATTCATATGGAACTAAAAAGAGCCCATATAGCCAAGACAATCCTAAGCAAAAAGAACAAAGCTGGAGGCATTATGCTACCTGTCTTCAAACTATACTATAAGGCTACAGTGACCAAAACAGCATGATACTGGTACCAAAACAGACACTTAGACCAATCGAACAGAATAGAGATCTCAGAAATAAGACCACAAATCTATAACCATCTGATCTTTGACAAACCTGACAAAAACAAGCAATGGGGGAAAATTCCCTATTTAATAAATGGTGCTGGGAAAACTGGTTAGCCATATGTAGAAAAACTGAAACCAGACCCTTTTCTTACACCTTATACAAATATTAACTCAAGATGGAATAAAGACTTAAATGTATAACCCCCAAGTCATAAAAACCCTTGAAGAAAATCCAGACAATACCATTCAGGACATAGGCATGGGCAAAGATTTTATGATGAAATCACCAAAAGCAACTGCAACAAAAGCAAAAATTGACAGTTGGGATCTAATTAAACTAAAGAGCTTCTGCACAACAAAAGAAACTATCATTAGACTGAACAGGCGACCTATAGAAAGGGAGAAAATTTTTTCAATCTACCCATCTGACAAAGGTCTAATATCCAGAATTTACAAGGAACTTCAACAAATTTACAAGAAAAAAAAACAACCCCATCAAAAAGTGGCAAAGCACACGAACAGACACTTCTCAAAAGAAGATATTTATGTGGCCAAAAACCATATGAAAAAAAGCTTAACATCACTGATCATTAGAGAAATGCAAATCAAAACAACAATGAGTTACCACCTCATGCCAGTGAGAATGGCATTTATTAAAAACTGAAGAAGCAACAGATGCTGGCAAAGCTGTGGAGAAATAAGAACACTTTTACAGTTTTTACACTGTTGGTGGGAATGTAAATTAGTTCAACCATTGTGGAAGATGATGTGGTGATTCCTCAAGGATCTAGAACCAGAAGTACCATTGGACCCAGCAATCCCATTATTGGCTACATAACTGAAGGAATACAAATCATTCTAATATAAAGACACATGCATGTAAGTTTATTGCAGCACTATTCACAATAGCAAAGACTTGAAATCAACCCAAATGCCCATCAGTGATAGACTGGATAAAGAAAATGTGGTACATATACATCATGGAATACTATGCAGCCATAAAAAAGGAATGAGATCATGTCCTTTGCAGGGACATGGATGAAGCTGGAAACCATCATTCTCAGCAAATGAACAATGGGACACAAAACCAAACACTCCATGTTCTCACTCATAAGTGGGAGCCAAACAGTGATAACATATGGACACAGGGAGGGGAACACCACACACTGCAGCCTATTGGGGATGCGGGGGTAGAGACAGCATCAGGATAAATGCATGTGAGGCTTAATACCTAAGTGATAAATTGATAGGTGCAGCAAAGCACCATGGCATATGTTTACCTACGTAACAAACCTGCATGTTCTGCACATGTATCCTGGAAATTAAAATAAAATTTTTGAAAAAGGTATTTAATTTATATTATATTAGTTTTTTATTCTGATCAAAACCATCAACTATTACCAAGTAAAAAGGAATAAGGGTTAAAAATTTTGAAAGCAGCATCCATTTTTAGTAAAGATATGCCTGACTTTCAATTTTTAGTAAAAATAGGACTTTTCAATTTTAAAAAATTTCCCATTTTTTTCTAATAAAAAAATAAATGGAAGATGGAGCAAGATGGTGGAATAGAAGGCTCCATCAATCATCACCCCTGCAAGGACACCAGTTTAACAACTATCCATACAAGAAAAGCATCTTCATAAGAACCAAAAATCAGATGAGCATTCACAGCACCTGGTTTTAAATTTATATCACTGAAAGAGGCACTGAAGAGGCAGAAAAACAGTCCTGAATTGCTGACACCACCCTTCCCCATGCCCCGGCTGTGACAACATGGTGTGGAGACTGTTTCTGTGTGCTGCAGAGAGGGAGAGCCAGCAATTTTGAGACATTGAACTTAGTGCTGCTATGCTATAGCAGAAAGAAAAACTAGACCAAACTCAGCTGATATCTGCCCACTGAGGGAGCATTTAAACCAGCCCAAGCCAGAGGGAAGATGCTGGCAATACCATTGGTGGGAACTTGAGTTCTGACAAGCCTCACCATTGTGGTGGTCTAAAGTGCTCTAGGGTATTAAATAAATGTGAAATGCAGTCTAGACCACAAAGGATGCAACTCCTAGGTGAATCTTAATGCTTAACTGGGCCCAGAGCCAGAGGACTGGGGGGCACAGAAACTACTGAGACCCAGCTGAGGTGGCTAATGGAGTGGTGGCATCAGTCCTCCTCTATCCCCACGATGCACAGCTTACGGCTCCAAAAGAGACTCCTTCCTTTCCTTTGAGGAGAGTAGAGAAAGAGTGCAGAGATCTTTGTCTTGAATCTTGGATACCAGCTGTGCTAGTCCATTCTCACACTGCTATAAAGAACTGCCCAAGACTGAGTAATTTGTAAAGGAAAGAGATTTAATTGACTCACAGTTCTGCAGGGCTGAGGAGGCCTCAGGAAACTTACAATCATGGCAGAAGGGGAAGCAAAGATGTCCTTTTTCACATGGCGGCAGGAAGGAGAAGTGCCAAGCAAAGGGGGGATAGCCCCTTATACAACCATCAGATCTTGTCAGAACTCACTCACTACCATGAGAGCAGCATGGGGGTGACTGTCCCCATGATTAAATTACCTCCCACTATATCCCTCCCATGACATGTAAGGATTATGGGAACTACAATTCAAAATGAGATTTGGATGGGGACACAGAGTCAAACCATTTCACCAGCTCAGTCACAGCAGTGTAGGACACTGGTCAGAATTGTGAGCCCCCTTTTCCTGGCCCTAGCTCCCAGAAGACATTTCCAGACACACCCTGAGACAGAAGGAAAGCAGCTTCCTTGAAAGGAAGGACCTAGTCCTGGCAGGCTTCATCACTCGCTAACTGAAGAGGCCTTGGGCCTTGAATAAGAGCTGTGATACCCAGGTACTATCTCAAGGGCCTTGGATGAGACTCTGAGATTTTCTGGCTTCAAGTAAGACTCAGCAGATCCCCAGCTGTGGTAGATATGAGGTGAGACTCCTGTTTGAGAGAAGTGGAGGGAAAAGTAAAGGGAACTTTGTCTAGCACCTTAGGTACCAGCCACAGGGGAGGTAGAGCACCAAATGGTGAAAATATACTTCAAACATGAAGGAGAAATGAAGACCCTCCCTAACAAACAAAAGCTGAGAGATTTTATAAACAGAAGACCTGTCCCACAAGAAATGCTAAAGGGAGTTTTTCAATCTGATAGACAAGGATGTTAATGAACAAGAAGAAATCATCTGAAGGTAAATAACTCACTGGTAATAGTAAGGATACAGAGAAACACAGAATATTTTAACATTGTACCTGTGGTGTGTAAACTACTCTTATCTTAAGTAGAAAAACGAAACAATGAACACAACAAAAATGATAACTATAACAACATTTCAAGACAGACAGTACAATGAGATAGAAATAGAAACAACAAAAAGTTAAAAAGAGAAGGGACAAAATTAAGGTGTAGAGTTTGAATTAATTTTAATTCGATTAATTCTTTTTGCTTGTTTGTTTATGCAAACAGTGTTAAGTTGTTATCAGCTTAAAATAATGCATTATAAGATAGTATTTGTGAGCCTCATGGTAACCTCAAACCAAACTCATACAACAGATACACAAAAAATAAAAAGGAAGAAACTAAATCATATCTCCAGAGAAAATTACTTTCGCTAAAAGGAAGACAAAAAGGAAAGAAAGAAAAAAGAGAAGACCACAAAACACCCAGAAAACAAAATGGAAAGAGTAGCTCCTTACTTATCAATAATAACATTGTATATAAATGAACTAAACTCTCCAATTAAAAGACAAACAAGACCCACTGACCTGTTGCCTACACATAGACTGAAAATAAAAGATTGGGAGAAGAGCAAAAGTAGCTATATGTATATCAGACAAAACTGATTTCAAGACAAAAGTTATAAGAAAATACAAAGAACATTACTATGTAATGATAAATGAGTCACTTCAGCAAGAGGATATAACAATTTTAAATATATATGCATCCAGCACTATAGAACACAGATAAATAAAGCAAACATTATAGGACTAAAGAGAGAGATAGACTCCAATACAATAACAGTAATACAGTAACACCACACTTTCAGCATTGGGCAGATCTTCCAGATGGAAAATCAACAAAGAAACATTGGACTTAATCTTCACTATAGACTAAATGGACATAATAAATATTTCAGAACATTTCATCCAGTGGCTGCAGAATACACTTCCTTTTCCCCAGCACATGAATTATTCTCAAAGATTAGCCCTATGTTAGGTCACAAAACAACTTTTAAAATAGTAAAAATATTGAAATAATATCAGGCATCTTATCTGGCCACAATGGAATAAAACTAGAAAATCATAATGAGAGGAATTTTGGAACCTATCCAAAGGTAGAAATTAAACAATATACTTCTGACAGACCAGTAGGTCAATGAAAAAATTAAGTAGGAAATTCAAATATTTATTGCAACAAATAATAAAGGAAACACAACATACCAAAATCTATGGGATAAAGGAAAAGCAGTGGTAACAGAATTTTATACCTACAAGTGCCTATGTTGAAAGAGAAGACAAACATCAAATAAAAAGCTTAACAATGAATCTTGAAGAACTAGAAAAGCAAAAGCAAAGCAAACCCAAAATTAGTAGAAGAAAAGAAATAATAAATATCAGAGCAGTAATAAATGAATTTCAAATGAACAAAACAATACAAAAGATCAATGAAACAATAAGTTGGTTCTTGAAAATTTAAATAAAATTGACAAACCTTTGGCTAGACTAAAAAAAAGACAGAAGATCCAGACAAATAAAGTCAAAAATGAAACAGGAGACATTAAAACTGATACTGCAGAAATTCAAAGGCTCGTTAGTAGCTACTGCGAGAAACTATATGCCAATATATTGGAAAATCTAGAAGAAATTGTCAAATTCCCGTATACATACAACCGACCAAGATTGAATCAAGAAGAAATTAAAAACATAAACAGATTAATAATGAGTAACATAATTGAAGCTGTAATAAAAAGTCTCCCAGTAAAGAAAAGCCCAGGAGCCAGTGGCTTCACTGTTGAATTCTATCAGACATTTAAAGAACTAATGCCAATCCTACTCAAGCTATTCCAAAAAACAAAAGAGGTGAAAACACTTCCAAACTCATCTTTTGAGACCAGTACTATCCTAATACCAAAAGCAGACAGAGCTACATCAAAAAAGAAAACTACAGGTTAATATATCTGATGAATATTGATGCAAAAATCCTCAACAAAATACTAGCAAACTGAATTCAACAATACATTAAAAAGATCATTCATCCACGGCCAAATAGGATTTATCCCAGGGATGCAAGGATAATTCAACATATGCAAATCAATCAATGTGATACATCATATCAAGAGAATGAAGAACTAAAATGATATAATCATTTCAATTGATGCTGAAAAAGCATTTGATAAAATTCAACATCCGTTCATGATAAAAACCCTCAAAAAACTGGGTACAGAACAAACATACCTCAACATAATATAGGCCATAAGTGACAGACCCACAGATAGTCTCATGTGATTGGGAAAAATCTGAATGGCTTTTCTGTAAGAGCTGGAACATGACTAGGATACCCACTTTCACCAATGTTATTTAACATTGTACTGGAAATCCCAGCTAGAACAATCAGACAAAAGGAAGAAATAAAGGGTATCCAAATTGGAATGGGAGAAGCCAAATTATGCTTGTTTGCAGGTGATATCATCTTATATTTGGTAAAACCTAAAGACTTCACCAAAAAGACCTATTAGAACGGATAAACAAATTCAGTAATCTTGCAGGATACAAAATCAACACACAAAACTCAGTAACATTACCATATGACAGCAGTGAACCATCCGAAAAAGAAATTTAAAAGTGATCCCCCTTGCAATAGCCACACACAAAAAAAATACCTAGGAACTAACTTAACCAAAGAAGCGAAAGATCTTTACAATGAAAACTGTAAAACACTGATGAAAGAAATTGAAGAGGACACCAAAAAAGTGGAAAGATATTCCATGATCATGGATTGAAAGAACAAAATAGTGTTAAAATGTTCATACTACCAAAAGCAATCTACAGAGTCAATGCAATTTCTATTAAATTACCAATGCCATTTTTCCAAGAAATAAAAGCTATCATAAAATTTATATGGAATCACAAAATACCCAGAACAGCCGAAGCTATCCTAAACAAAAGAACAAAACTGGAGGAATTACATTACCTGACTTCAAATTATACTACAGAGCAATAATAATCAAAACAGTGTGGTACTGGCATGAAAACAGACACATCGACCAAAGGAACAGAATAAAGAACCCAGAAGCGAATCCACACACCCACAGTGAACTCATTTTCAACAAAGATGCCAAGAAAATACATGGGGGAAAACAGAGTCTCTTCAATAAATGGTGCTGGGAAATCTGGAAATCCATATGCAGAAGAATGAAACTAGAGCCCTATCTCTCACCACATACAAAAATCAAATAAAAATGGACAGAAGACTTAAATCTAAGACCTCAAGCTATGAAACTTCTATAAGAAAACATTAGGAAAATTCTCCAGGACATTTGGAAACTTCTTGAGTAATAACTCACAAGCACAGGCAACCAAAGCAAAAATGGGCAAATGTGATCACACCAGGTTAAAAAGCTCCTACACCATAATGGAAACAATCAACAAAGTGAAGAGATCACCCACAGAATGGAAAAAAAAATTTGCAAGCTACGTATCTGAAAGGGCTTAATAACCAGAATATATGAGGAGCTCAAACAACTTTATTTTTTAATCTAATAATTGGATTTCAAAATGGGAAAAAGATTAGAATAGACATTTCTCAAAAGAAGATATCCAAATGACAAACAGGCACATGAAAATGTGCTCAATATCATTGATCATCAAAGAAATGCAAATCAAAACTACAATGGCATATCATCTCACCCAAGTTAAAATGGCCTTTACCCAAAAGTCAAGCAATAACATATGCTGGTGAGGATGTAGAGAAAAGGGAATTCTCATACACTGTTTTTGGGAATGTAAATTAGTACAACCATTACGGAAAACACTTTGGAAGTTTCTCAAAAAACTAGAAATAGAGATACCATATGATCCAGCAATTTCATTGCTGAGTATATACCAAAAATAAAGCAAATCAAGATATCTAAGAGGTTATCTGCACTCCCATGTTTGTTGCAGCACTATTCACAATAGTCAAGATTTGGAAGCAACAGAAGTGTTCATTAACAGATGAACAGATAAAGGAAATGTGGTACTTACACACAATGGAGTACTAATCAGTCATAAAAAATGAGATCCAGTCATTTGCAAGAACATGGACCGAATAGAAGGTCACTATGTTAAGTGAAATAAGCCAGACACAGAAAGACAAGCTTTGTGTGTTCTCACTTATTTGTGGTATCTAAAAATCAAAACAACTGAATTCATGGACGTAGAGAGTAGAAAGATAGTTATCATAAGCTGGCAAAGATAGTGGGGGCTTGGGGAGGTAGGTGGGGATGGTTAATGGATAAAAAAAAGTTAGAAAAATAAATAAGACCTAGTATATTGATAGCACAACAGGGTGACTATGTTTAATAATAATTATTTAACATTACATTTTAAATTAACTGAAATAGTATACACGGATTGTTTGTAATACAAAGGATAAATGCTTGAGGGGATAGATACCCCATTTTTTCACAATGTGATTATTACACTTGCACACATGTATGGAAAAATCTTATGTAACTGACAAATATGCCCCCGAAAAAATTAAACAAGTTTTTTTAAATCAATTACCAATTTTTGCTATGAAATTGCATCCATACCCGTGTCAAGATGTAGTAGGCTAGTTAAAGGTGAGAAAATGGGTAACAAAGTGAGATGATGGGTGTGTTAATTTGTTCTACTATAGTAATCTTTTTAGTATGTATGTATCTCATAATGTTGTGTACCTTCAATATATAAAATAAAATTTATTTTTTAGGAAACCCATAGAATCTTGTGGTAAATATTGTGACCTGTTTTTTAAGTCCCACCATGTTTTATTACTATAATGCAATTTTTATCAAAATAGAATTCTGGATACCCTAATAATAAAAACATACGTTGGTTTTGTCTGTCTCTTTACAGAGATCTTTGGCATATGTAAAGTTATCTTACGACATAGAGCAACTCCATGAGCTAGTGTATTATTGTTCCCTTTTAATAGATGAGAACAATTATAAAATGTTTACGCTCAGGGGTAGATTTTCCCCACTCCAAATAGTTAATATATAACAAATTTGTATTTAAAAACAAGCCTGACTCTTATGACTCTTAGTTACTTGCTTTTTCTTACACACTCATGGAGATAATTTTAAAGAATCATCATTATCAGCGTATTATTCAGCAAATGTGTTAAAAAATACTCTACAAGAAATTGCCCTAAAACAGTTTCTCAACCTTAACAGATTGACATTCATGTCAGGTCATTATTTATTGTGGGGCCTGTCCTCTTCATGGTAAGATATTTAGCAGCATTCCAGGTTTCTACCCACTAGATGCCAGTAGAATTCCTACAATAAACAGAATATTAGCTACCTAAATATATCCACATCCTAACTCACAGAATCTAGAAATATATTACCTTACATGGTAAAATGGGCTTTGAAGATGTTATTCTGCTAAGGATCTTGAGATGGAGAGGTTATTCTGAATCATCCAGGTAGACCAATGTAATCACAAAGGTCCTTACAAGAGGGAAGCAAAATGGCCAAAGTCAAAGAGAGGAGATGTGACAATGGAAAGAAAAATCAGAGTAATATACTTTGATGACAGAGGAAGGGGCTGCAAGCCAAGGAAATGTAGACTGCCTCTAGAAGCTGAAAAAGTCAAGGAAACTGATTCTCCCCTAGAGCCTCCAGAAGGAATGCAGCTCTACCAACACATTGATGTCCGCCTCTAAAATTCATTTCAGACATCTAACCTCTATAACTGTAAGAGAATAAGCCTGAGTTGCTTTAAGCCACTATGGTTGTGATAATTTGTTCACAGAAGCAATAAGAAACTAACACACCTCTGCCCAGCTGCAATAACCAAAAATATCTCCAGATGCTGCCAAATGTTCCCTGGGGGGACAAAACCTACCCCTCATCCTTTGTTAAAAACCATTACCCTAAAAGAAGAATTTTGTTTATTTTCATAGTCACGGGTCTGCAAAATGAATGTACTTCCACTGATACAGCTGGGCGTAGCTAACATGCTCTGTTTGAGGCTGATGGTTGGCTGAACTTTAGCTCCAGGTTGAGAATTCAGCTCATGTCTGCTCGACACATGTTTTGTTTTGGGGCCTGAGCTAAAGATACAGGAGCTAAAGATACAAGAGTACAAGAACATGTACTTCTCATGGAGGACCAGTGGGGTGCAAGGAGCAAGCCAAACTATACAAGCACACTTAAAACTTCTAGCATAATATCCACTCACATTCCAGAGACGAACACCAGTCATATGACTAAACCAATCCCAGGCAGAGAAGTATCCTCTGCTCAAGGAGCCAGGATTCAATTAAAGGAACAACCACTGGAAGATGTATATGATTAATGTATTACCATACAGTCATGCATCGCTTAGCCACAGGGATATGTTCTGAGATATGTGTCATTAGGTGATTTTATCGTTGTGCAAACATCAGAGTGAACTTACACAAACCTATATGGTATAGCCTACTACACATCTAGGCTATAGGGTATAGCCTATTGCTCCTAGGATACAAACATGTACAGCAGTTACTGGACTAAATACTGTAGGCAACTGTAACACAATGGTATTTGTCTATCTAAATATAGAGAAGGGACAGTAAAAATGTGAAATTACAATCTTACAGGACCACCATCATATGTGTGGTCATTTGTTGATTGAAATGTTATGCAGCATCTGAATGTATATATTAATATAGGTGTATCCTAACAAATAAATTAAAATGTGATATAGAGATATGACCTTATGTACTTGTGGCAGTCAGGAAAGGAAGACATATATCAAGAATGTGAAGCAAGAACAATCTGCAGCTTGTGAGACTGAGCTGGAACCTACAGTGATGGACTAGAAGCCACACTGGTCTTCACAGCTTCTAAGACGTTAACTTTTATAATGGAGGTGTCTTTTAGGAGAGTTTTGTGTCCTTTTTCATAGAGATGAACGTGTACCTAGCCAAGAGGTTGGAGAAGCAAACACAAAATGCCCAATAGGAGCTGTAAGGGCAGTGTGCTAGTCTTCTGCCCCACACCAACTGGGTGAGCTAGCAGATAAGCATGAATGCAGTGCCTCAAGCCCTAGACTCATGTCCTCATGCAATGGAATATGGCCTCTCCACTGCTGCCTGCCAAATCTCGCACAAAACATCTCTCGTGGTCCACACCATCTCTAAACTAAACACAAAGAGGATTCTGGGAAATGTAGTTCTATTTTAGCTAAACTGAGACAAAAATCTACTTTGACATCTATATACACTTACCATCCAAATACATCTTTTAACTTACTTTCTCTTCCAAACAAAAACAATTGCAAAATCATGTCTCCTTCTAACTAATGGAACCATATCTCATACAGCCAAAAGCAGACTTTTTCCCCATAAAAGAATATAAAATTCCTTTTTGTCATTAGGTAATATTTATTCCTCTTTTAGCTGAGTCACATATCTGCTTTGATACCCTGAAACTTAAATACTGAGAAATCCAGTTTAACAATTGTGGTAGGTAGACTAGTACCTGCCACACACACATCCTTAATGTGTTCACATCCTAATCCCTGGAACCTGTGAATGTTGTTTTATGACAAAAGAGACTTTGCAAATGTAATTAAATAGAAGATCTTGAAATGAGGAGGCTATTCAACGTTATCTGGATGTATTCAACGTAATCACAAGAGTCCTTATAAGAGGGACAGAGGAGGAGACAGAGGCAGAGAAGGAGGTGATGGGATACCAGAGCAGAGATTGGAGTGATGGGCTCTGAAGATGAAGGAAAGGGCCTCAGACATAGGAATACACGTGAACACTAAAAGCTGGAGAAAGCAAAGAAACAGATTCTCTCCTCAGAGCCTCCAGATGGAACCTGTCCTGTCAACACCTTGATTTTAGCCGACTGAGACTGATTGTGGACTTCTGATCTCCAAAACTACATGAGAATAAATTTGGGTTTAATCACTAAATTTGTGGTGATTCGTTACAGCAGCAATAGGGCACACACAACTAATATTAATATATCATATGTTGTATGGTAAGAAAATTGGAAAGGAGAGAAAAATTATGAGATATATATATATATAACAAATAATATTAAATAATTTTATAATAACAGCAACCCATTGTGTGGTCATACTACATATTTATAATTACCTTCCTCTACCTATTCTATATTTCTTGGCCTCAGCAAGCACCTTTGTCTGGTGAGGGGCCTGAATATTCATTTCTAAAAGGTCTAGGCCATTAGAAGTCCTCCCTATATCGGCCTATTTAGTTCTCTACTGACTTAAATCACAGGACATGGAAATGCTTAGAGGTGTCCCAGGTAAACCTGCTACGTCCCAGATATACTCCTCCTTACTCCATAGTGGAGTAGCAACAAAATTTCCTCTACCTGGTCGGGATCACATATCTGAACCAGTACCAGAACTTTATCTTTGATTGTAGATTTATTGACATAAAGAACTCAACGTTTCCAGGGAGATTTTCAACTTCCAGTTTGTGGAACCATTGCTGTATCTCCTGCCAGAAGCATTTCCTCATTGTTAACTAAAACTTCTAGACCAGCAAATCCTAGGGATGGAGAGATGGAAAATGAAAATTTCACTAGTGGAACGTTAGGGTTAATAGAGGAGCCACTCCCATTTCCAGCCCTTGATCCCCAGACCCATGAATATGGCTATTGAAGAAACAGCACAGAAGTTTAACTGATTTAGAGCATATACAGCACCCTGGAGGACATTTTCTCCAGACCCTCAAGGTACTGCCAACCAGTTTATGCTTAACTGAGTCTTCAAAAAATGGTTCCACAGTTCCATCAGGCCAGCTGCTTCAGGGTGATTAGGTACATGATCAGACTAGTGAGTTTCACTAACATGACCCCATTGGCACCCTTCATTTGCTGTAAAACGAGTTCCTTTGTCAGAAGCAAAATCTGGTAGAATACCATGTATGGGGAATACATCCTGAGATAACTCTCAATGAATGACACCCTTGTATAATCTCTCCATAAGTGTGTGTGACATGTGACTTGATTCTAACCAATAGAATACGGCAAGGGTAATGGGATGTCACTTTCATGATCATATTTTATTATAGAAGTGTCCATCTTAACAGGCTGGAGGGAGAGATTAGCCTGCTGGCCTTGCAAAAGTAAGCAGCCATATTTGGAACTGCCTATGGAGAGGACCACATGGCCAGGAACTGCAGGTGGCTTCTAGAATCTGAAGGTGGTCTCCAGATAACGGCCAATAAAAAGCTGTATGAGTTTGGAAGCCAATTCTTCCCTATCCAAGCCTCTAGAACACACAACACTGTGATTGCAACCTTTTTAAAATAGCATATAAATAATGCACACACTTTTGACTCACAGAAATTGTGAGATAATAACTGTGTGTTGTTTTAAGTTGATAACTAGGTGATCATTTGTTATGCATCATTGAAGATTTATACAGCATGACAGTGAATAGGACATGCCTTAAGGCTATGAATTGTGGTTTTGGTAGGGAAAGCAAATGCCTGCATCAGTCTAATCACATCTCCCATTAGCATAGAAGCCCCCTGAGGGTGATGACTATGTCTTTTACATTCTCCACAGTGCCTAGCACAACTTATTCCTCCTAATATGTGCTTAAAAATTATTTTTTGTTGTTAGACTACTTCAAGAATTAATTCACATCATTGCAGAAAACTGATGTTCATCTGCAGTGTGAAAATCACAATGCCAATCACAAATATTTGTATTCCTACTAAAAGTGAACATTAAATGGAAAGAGTCTTCCTCACTCCCACCCTCATCCCTTTTCTTCTTTTTGAAACATACCTTTCCTTTTTGCATTAGAACCAAGACTACATATTTAGTTTTCTGATACTATTAATGCCTAAGGCATTGTAATAGAAACTACACTAGTCCTGGAAGGAATTTAAAAGGATAAAGTAAACCAGTCTTATTTCTAAATAAGACTGTAATTAAGTCTGCCTAGAAAAGTGAGTACATATATTCTCTCGAGAAAGCACTTGAGGAAAAACTGGTAGGATGGAAAGGTAGAAAAGGAAAACTCAATCTTTGGTCCCTGGTTGACTGCCTCCCACTCCAACAGTTTCTGTCCTTGTAATGATCATTTCTATGGTGCCTTTTGGCATTCTGGAGGAGAATGTAAATGTTTTGTCCTGATATTTCTGGTTCTTTTCCTCCGAATTTAGAAAGAATGGAATTCCTTTGTATTATTTAAAATAGTTCCCTGGACCACCACATTTGCCTTCTAATTGGTATCAACTATTATGTAGCAGCAATTTTTCATTTGGGATAAAGTCACCTCATAGAACAGCCATTTAGGTAAAACAAAGATATTAGAGAATGTAAGGACTCTAGGGCTTTAGAAAGCCTTCTAATTCATTCCTCTGACCTCCAATATGAATACACAATCCATCACTGGAGAGACTTCCATGTTTCAAGATTTTAGAAAAAAAAAATCCTATCTCCCTAATTTCTCACTTCACTGGGCTATGTACTATAAATCACTATGAACTTTTTCTGGAGGGAGGTGATGGTGATGATGTGGTTTAGTTTGGTTCGGTTAATTCTTTTTTGTTCCTTTATAATCAAGCTGAAATTATTACCTAATTATCCTTCAGTATTTATTTTCTAACTTACTTCCGTGATACTTGCTCAGAAACTATACTTGTCTACTCTTTAATTATTTGGTTAGTGACTTTTGATTGGTCTCTGTACTGTCCTCAATCCTCTTGGGTACTACCAGAATAGTGTAGATGACTCTAGTAAATAAATATGTAAGTATGGGTGAATTTACCACTGCACTTTTCTCATTTTCAGTATTTTCAGCTTCACACTTCTATTCCTTGTATACAACCACAAACATGTATACACCACAAACTTGTGGAACTCTGGTCAAGTTTCAAACTGTATTCAAATGTTATTACCATAAATGATATAATTCTTCCCTCTTCCGTGTTCCTATTGCTCTTTATACTTATCTCTATTAGATTAGAAATGTTTTCTTCTTTAGACGCATATGTATTTCTTATACATATTAAAATATAAACAATCAAGAATAGGAAGTAGAATACCCGTCTAGAGTAAATTCTCAATAAATGTGGAAAAGCAAAGGAAAAGAGGAAGAAGGGAAATTAGTTCAGATTTGGAGGAGGACACAAAGATTATAAAATTCAACCATATTTTACAAATGAGGAAAGTAAAACAATAAGAAATTAAGTGAGCCAAAGCCTTATACCTATTGAGAGGCTGTTTTGGACATTCATGAATTTGGGGGAACCAAGCACCTTGTAACCTCATTAGTTTGCTAAGAGCTCTCTGACTTTTGACCCTTGACCATCCAGGACTTTTGTTTGAACTCTTAGAGGAAGAGAAGCTGTTCTACCAGCCAGCCTTGAGCCTGGAAGGACAGGAGCTTTTGGCAGCCATTATACCACCATGTGGAGCCTGAGAATAACAAAGCTGAGAGGTGAATCGCGGCTGAGTACATTACGGCTTCTTATATCCCCAGATCAAGACAATCTGTAGAACAAATATGTTTACTCTGTTTTTTTTTTTAAAGCTTGACTTCAGTTTTCTGACTTGGTCCTAACTAAAAATCATGCAGCATTTGAACTAAGTATAGGTCTTATAACTCTCAACCTGTATTCTTTTCATCTTGGTACTGCCTGTCTCCTCTTTGCTGATAGTGCTTTCCTTTTCCTTTATCAATGTAAAAACAAACCTCCTCTACTTATTTTACCAAGAAGTAGGAAGCTTCCACGTTTTAATGACAACCTTGGTATCTTTGCATGGCCCTGCGTCTGATGAATGGAAGGATTACCTCACTGTCTCTGCATGATTACATTCCGATTTATCTATCGGCCCAAACATACTTGCTACTTAAAAAATAAAAGTACAAAGATTCAATATTCCCAGAGACTTCAGTCTCACTCCAAATGTGTTCCAGTTTCTATTTATTCAGAGTTTTGAAAACCAGAACCCTAGGGAGTCCTGAGGTCTGGTACACACATATGTATGACCTTATCAATGCAGAGTCAGAAATTCTGTGCATTCAGAAAGCCCTAAGTCAGAGGTGGTTCCTCGATCACCGTAGGATTGATTTCTTCAGGCTGTTCAGGTGACTTTTGTGACCTTACCATTGCAGCAGAAAGGGTCATATTTGCTCAATAACTGATCGGGTGGCTGTGTGGAAACACAATTCAAACTTCTGTCCTCCCTGGCTAGGTTG